>NC_000022.11:37497442-37648957 GCF_000001405.40 Homo sapiens
TGCCTTGCCACGGCCCTTTCGTTTCCTCCATCAGAACGAACACCTTCAGGACCAAACTTCTATACTGTTCCGCTCTGTAGCCCTGGCACCAAACCCAGTGTCTGGCACATAGCAGATGACTAATAAAAGCTTGTTATATAGCCAAGCACGGTGGCTCACGCCTGTAATCCCAGCACTTTGGGAGGCCGAGGCAGGCGGATCATGAGGTCAGGAGTTCGAGACCAGCCTGGCCAACATAGTGAAACCCCATCTCTACTAAAAATACAAAAAAATTAGCCGGGCGTGGTGGTGGGCGCCTGTAATTCCAGCTACTTGGGAGGAGAATTGCTTGAACCCAGGAGGCAGAGGTTGCAGTGAGCCGAGATCGAGCCACTGCACTCCAGCCTGGGCAACAAGACTGAAACTCTGTCTCAAAAAAAAAAAAAAAAGCTTGTTATGCTCACAGTCTGAGGAGGGAGGTCACCATTAGCACGTGGCACAGATCCAAAGGTGGTTACAACCAGCCGTGGAAGCAGAGAGAGGCTTCCCACGGAAGAAGTACCTAGGCTACACGCTGGTGAAGAATAGATGCACTTTGGTGACAGATGGAGGAAACAGAGTTCCAGGCTGAAGGAATATATCAGAGCAAAGGTGTGGAGGACAGAACACAGGATGCGTGGAAGAATTTAATAATAACAATAGCAGCGAACACTTCCTGGGTGCTTTCCATGTGCCAGACACCATGCTGAGCTCCTTGCCCTAATTCTTATTTTACATCCTGGGAAGCAGCTCCCAGGAAAGGCAAGCTGGAGCCACCCTTTGGAGGGCGTGGAACAGAGGCGTCTGGTTTTCCTCCCATGGGCAGGAGGACCACTGACAATTAAGACGTCACCAAAATCCCCATCATGGTAGGGTTCTGCCTGTCCCTGGATGAGAAAAGGTGAGGCCTTGTGGCCAGGCTCAGAGACAAATGGACCCCAAGTCCCCTGCCAGACACCTTGGCCTGGAGGAGGTGGGGAGACCAAGGTCAGCAGGTGTGCTGGCTGGAGAGGCAGCGGGGCGAAGCATCTCCATCCACCCCAGCAGCTGCAGCCCAGACACAGCTGCACTGCCCCCTGCTGCCAGCCTGGGGAGGGCGCGGCTGCAAGGACCTCCCACCCAATCGGCACTGCTGGGGAACAGCCCCGCCCTCTCAGGTAAGACACAGAGCCAGGCCGAGGGGCTGGACAGATGCAGGCATGGGAGGCATCATTCAGTGCCGCATGTCCTGGCTGCATCGAGGTGGCATGGAAAGGGGGCAGGCCTGAGACCTGGCCTGGCTATGCTGGCCCTGGCTTTGTGGCTGGAGCACACGGTCCGCTCCAAACCCCAGGGCAAACTGCACCCTAGCCTGGGCAAATGAGCCGGCTGCTGAGCGTCAGTTACCACATGCATAACACGAAGCTGACAATGACACCCCTTGCCCTCTGTGGGTGCTGGGGGGTGGGGGGGGGGGGCACATGAATAAAAGATAATGCAGGGAGAGGTGGAAACCAGAGGACTCTGGGGCCTCCAAACTGCAGGCCTGGCCCTTAGTGGCTGGTAACATTCACTGGGTTGCGACTGGGACAGCTGGATAATGCTATGGAATAGAAAGTACAATGCTATCCCCCACCCCGCTCCCGCCACCCCAGGTAAATCCAATTATTATCTCATGACCTTTTTGTTCCAGGCATGTGTACCGGGTTTCTCTCACTGTGGGTTGTGGTCAGATGGTCCGAGAAGCACAGCACGCAGGGTGCCAGCAGGAACTCTGGGGTCAAACGGCCCAGCTGCTCAGCCGCTTGAGCCTCAGCTCCACCCACCTCCCTGGCTACTCGCTGAGTTTAGACATGGGCAGCTCTCAGAACAGGGCCCAGGAGACACTAAGTGCTCTGTCAAAACTAGACATTTACTGGCATCAGGTGTGATTCACAACAAATCACCTCTCGCTTGCCTCAGTTTCCCCACCTGTTTCAAACCCACAGACAACTGACCATCATGGCCTCTCCAGACCAGAGCCCAGTAAGCAGCTGGCATCCAGGCTCTTCCACCAACCCTACCCACCCCACCCACCTCTACTCGCTCCCTCCTCCACACCTCTCCCCTCTGCAATGCAAGCATCAAGGCTGACCTCAGCTTTCAACTCAGGTTTTTCAGGCTCTTCTTGACAACTCCTGCAGCTCCCTGAAGACCCAGCTCAGGCGCCCCCTCCTCCAGGACGCCCTTGCCAACCTCCTCAAAGGACCAGTGACTTCTCTGAGCCTCCACAGACCAGGAATACCTGCTCCCAGCACTCCTCGGAGTCTGCAGAGCCCACAGGGGCTTGCCCAGAGCAGGGTCCAGATAGGGTTCCTCCCAGCCCCCCGCCTCAGCAGACAAGCAGGAGGGGTAGAGAAAGGACACAGCAGGGAGAGGGGCTGCCTGCTCCCCGCTCCTGGGACTGGCTGACCAGCTGGCTGCCTGTGTGGTACTAGGAAGCACAGTGTCCTTAGCTACCAGCTCCCAGCCCCCTCCCCAGTCAGGTCAGGTCACAGGCAGACAGGAACGGGGCAAGTCTGCCAGCTCTGCCAGCTCTGAGCAGTGACAGGCCACATGGCCTCAATGAATGTCCCCCAGGGCCCCGTGGGAAGATATCTGAGTAGTCTGCGTGCCTGCTTGGTACCAGGTCAGGGACCTGATGCTGAGACTGAAGCATGCCACACAGATCACCTCAGTCAATCCTCCTGACAACCCGATGGTTGAGATAAGGGAAACTGAGGCACAGGAAAGTTAACTTGCCAAGAATGGGCACAGCTAGTGGGCCGTGGAGCCAGGCAATGACTTATGGGAACCCTCTCTTTGCAAGGACAGAAGGTGCCAGAGATCCCCTGGGGCCACGTGAGCGAGCTGGGCAGTGGTGAGGCTATGCTGGGGAGACGGCACCCCGAAACCCTCCAGTGCTCTCCATGCTCTGCCTCTCTCACCCAGCACCTCACTTGCCCCATGAGTTCTCCCTTGCTGTCCCCCACCTGACTATCTGTCAGCCCAACCCCCGGTCTGCCCCAGCCCCCCACTATCCACCATCCCCTCCCGGCACCCAGGCTCCAGGAGCTGAGAAGGGCAGGGCAGAGAGGCTGAGGGCAAGAGATGGGCAGGAAATGGGAAAGAGGAGAGAAAATGCCCAACATGGTGCCCAGTACAAAGTGGGCACACAATACGGATGTGAGATCTCCAACAGCTGAGACAGTGGGGAGGCACATCGGAATCTCCAACCAGCTCCGAGGGGCCTGTGACTTGGGACCAATTTCTAACTGTCTCTGTACTTCAGTGTCCTGGTCTGTGTAACGAGGTTAAAATTCCAGCCTTGCAGAGCTGCTCTGAGGATTAAACAACAATGGCGACAATAATCATAACTAACCGCGAGCATATGCTGACATCCACCGTGAGTGTGCTAAGCATTCTAGAAGGGATACTCAAACCCCCATAGTGACCCTAAGGGACAGGCACTATGTGAGCCCATTTTACAGAGCAGGAAACTGAGGCACTGGGAAATTCAGAGACATGCCCAAGGTCCCACAGTAGCAAGTGCTGACACCAAAGCCAGCTCTTCCCACCTCGCCATAACACAATCCCAGGAGACACACAAGTTGCCCCGACCTGGGACCTGTCCGGGCCCTCATCTCCCTCTCCCTCTCCTCTCCGCCTGTCTGCCTCTCTCTCTCTCTTTCTCTCTCTCTCTCTGTCCACCACCTCTGCACCTTCCCCAGCCTGTGTTCTTCCCCAGGAACCTCTCTCCTCCCCAGGAACAGCATGGGCAGCAGAAGTGGCCCCATGTGATCGTGGGGCCTGGGCGGGGCTGGGACGGAGGCTCCTGCTCCCTGGCTGCATCCTGGCGCCCCCTGGACAACAGCCAGGACCCCTGCTGCAGCCCAAACTGGAGGAAGGGAGGAAGGGCCGAGGCGAGCAGGAAGGGAGGCGCCTCCACCCCTTCCCCGAGAAGCACGTCCTGCACAGGCAAAAACAATGTCTCGCTGAGCCCACTGCCGGGGGCCAGGTGGGGGCAGGGCCTGGACACTGGCTGACCAAGCCGCTCCGGAGGCCAGAGGCCCTGGTCCTATGCTGTACCCATCTGCTGCGTGACCCATCCCTCTGCACCCAACACCTCCACATTCCAGCGCTGACAGTCCATGTTTCCTATGCCCTTTCCAAAACCCAAATCTGATCAGGTCACTATGAACCCAGACCTGGTACTTCCCAACTGTGGGACCCTGGGCAAGTTGCTTAACCTCTCTGAGCCCCAGTTACCTCCTCTATGGAGCAGAGATAATCGTCATTATGCCTACTCCCTGGACAAAGAGCATGTTGTAAAACAGCCAGCAGCTGGCCTTGCAGTTAATAACTAAACCCTCCCACATTTCCCAGAGTGTACAAGCCAAAGTCCACACTTTCCCAGCCTGACTCAGGAAGCCTTGACTTTCGCCCTTCCCCCTCGCTCCTCCTCCACAGTCACCGGATGCTCTCCCTACCTGCCCTCTCCTCACAGCTGAGTTCCAAGACCACAATGGCCGTGCAGCCCCCGCTCTGCCCCACCCCTCCCTTAGATACACTGGCAGGTGTGAACAGCGGCCACGCACCGGCCACACTAACAGCACGTCGCCTACAGTGCACTCTGCACTAATGGGCTTTGTGACTCCTGTTATGGACCTGTGGCTGGCCCGGTCACAGGGGCTCCTGAGGTGACCCAAGCCCACCCACAGCATGAAACTTTGCTGGGTGGCTCAGTCCCAGGGACTCAGAGCCAAGGGACTGACAGGCAGGACATTGGGACGAGGACAGCTTGTAAGTGACAACTATTACTAAGCACCTGCTACATGCCTGGCAGAGCTGGGTGCTTTGCTTCTGCGAGCAGAGCCCTCAAAAGACCTCCATGCAAAAAGGGTCATCATCTCCCTTTAGCTACTGAGGAAATGGAGGCCCAGAGAAGTGAAGGGACCAGCCCAAGTCACAGGGACGATCAAGAGCGGCAGCAGGATTGGAATCCAAGGGCTGCCAGTGTCTACAGATCTTAATCTTCCAATAGTTGCATAAAACAGGGGCGAGGCAATTGCTCCTCCCACCTCACTCCTGTTCCCCTCTCAAGCAATCACCCCAGCTCCACCCACTGCAGGCAGCTACAGTACCTGTTGAGGAAGTCCAGGCCACAGCCCCGAGCCAGGAGGCCTTCCGGCTTTCCCAAAGGCCACACGCTGTCAGAGGATGAGGACGAAGAGAGGCCAGGGGACCAGGGCTTAAGTGTCACACTCCCTGGGGAAAAAGAATGAGGTTCAGGGATCTGGCACTGGGAAACAGGGATGGCCAGGGTCCATGACAGGGACTGACCCCCCTCCAGCCCAGAGAGGCCTTGGCAGGTTTGAGGCCCCAGGAGCACATCAGACCCACTGGGCTCAGAGATAGGTCAGGGCCCACCAGGCTGACCCCGCAGTTTCCCAGAAGAGGGTGAAAGGTGGCCCAGAACTGAAGAGCCTCGTACATCACAGCCGGGAACAGGAGTGAGGCCCAGGACTGGGCTCGGGGTGAGAGGCTGGAACCAAAGTCCCCAGGGTCCTCCCAAGCACAACCTTCCTGCCTGGCAGGGGCCACGGCGGGGCTTCAGGGAAGGGGATGCAGGCCAAAGGTAGCGCAGGTGGTGCAGGCTTCAGGTGGGCTGCAAAGCCACCTCCCCCGACCAGAGGAGCCCTCCCCACGGAACTCAAGGGCTGTTACCTGTGATGTCTGACATGCTGCTGAAGGATCTGGGCAGAGAGAGGGCAGGGAGGGGGCAGGAGGTGAGGCACAGTGGGCACTCTGCCCCGCTCCCTCCTCCTGCCCCCACACCAGATAAATGTCTCACAGCCCCCAAGCAAATGCAGGCTAGACTCAAGGCAGGGTCCCAGGTACAGGGCACCCATGCCACCTGGCTCCCCTAAACTCCCAGGGTAAGAAGTTAATGTCCTGGCCTCTGTCCAATGTTGTTCCACCTACAATGCCCTGGCATGCCCTTCAAAGCCAGCTCTTTCAATGCCACCTCCTCCTGGAAGCCACCCCTGATCTCTCACCCCTCACCTCACCCTCACTTGCCACCTTTGTGGTTTGTGACTCCCAGGTACGCCTCCTAAATTAAACCATGACCTCCTCATCAGACACCTCCTTGGGACAGATTTACGCAGATCAAGGCCATACTGACCACAGCCTCCCAGGGCCCAGCCTCTCACCAGTAAAGGAATAAATCAAGGGCTGCTTACAGGGGAAAAGCAGTGACAAGGATCGCGCCCCAGGAGGCAGGCTATCTCCCGCCCTTGGTCTTGCCACCAGAGGGTGCGCCTTGGTTTTTCTGGTCCCTATTTGCTGCTGATGCCCAAACCTGGGGCCTGGCTTTCTTGCCGGAGGTCCCTGATACCTTGAAACATTCTCCACGCCCCCTAGTCCTGAACCATCAAGCTTCTCCTTGGGTATAGGATCTTCAAGGCTTGACCCCCAGTGACCCTCCTGCCAGGATGCTTGGCTAGGACTGAGTTCGCTCTGCCCATCGGCCTTATCTTAAGCCTGACCTTGGTCGCCCCTGTGACTCACAGGACCTGGGTTTCCAGAGCTCCAGCCATCTGAGGGCAATAAAGGGAAGTGACTGCCTGGACCTGACTTTGGCATTGCAGATTCTGGGAGGTGGCTGTTCGGGAAACGGCAGCCCCACCTCCCTGGGTGTCTACTGCTATCCCCAGCCATCTCACCTCTTAGGGGGTGCGGGGTCTTCCTCACGCTGCCGGCGGAGGATGGAGCCGGCACTGGGGGGGAAGGGCAGGATGGAGAGCCGATTGATCTCCTTTTCACTGTCTGTGGCTTCCTCCTGCAATGCCATGACAGGGCCTGGGTCACCCCCACTGCCCAGCACCATCCCAGTCCTCAGCACACCTGGTTTGTGCCCATTCCACAAATGAGAAGTAGGGCCCAGAGCAGAAGAGCGGGCTCTGCAAGATTATAGTGTGCGGGTGGCTCCCCACGCCTCCTGGCACCTATGCCTGGCAAGGAAATGGTTCTGGGTGAGCTTCAGTAAAGTACTTGGCCTCCCTGCGCCTCAGTGTCCTCACCTGTGAAATGGATCCTTCAGAAAGCACTCTCCACATTAGTAATAATGCTATAGCAGTGTCCCCCCTTATTTGGGATGGGGCAGTTGTCTTACCGAGTTGTGAGGCTCAGGTCCCCCCATGACAGCTGCCTCCCCAGTTGCTTCTGGGCCTCCCAGAGGGGAGGGGAACTCGCTCAGGCTCCAAGTGCTGCTGAGGTTGGAGCACAGGGAATGGGAGGAGGCACAGGCCTGGAAGAGGGAGAGGAGAGGAAGGAGGTGAGCAGTGCTAGGCCCACGTCAACCACAGTCCTTTACTGAGCACCTGCCATGTGCCAGCACAGGGACAGATCCCTGTCCTCAGGGAGCTCACAGCCTAGAATGGGAGATAAACTGTAAACCAGCAGACATGTGAACAAAATAGCCCCAAGCTGAGACAATAGCAGAAGGAAGGTGCCCAGGGCATGGAAAACACACAAAGACCCCACCCAGCCTGGGAGTCCAAGTACTCTCCAAAGAAACTGTGGTTTGAACTGAGAACTCAAGGGTATAGAGGCGCTAAGTAGGTCAAGCTGGGATGGTCCAGGCAGATCAACAGCATGTGCAAAGGCCCTGAGGCAGGACTGTGATGCATTCCAGTTGAAAGACTGGAACCCACAGAACCAGGCGAGAGGACAAGAGGAACCCCACCCGCAGGGCCTCTTGGCCATGAAAAGGGACTCTGTCTTTACCAAACAGCAAAAAAGCCACTGGGGGTTAAAAAAAAAAAAAAGTCTTGGATTAATGCTGACTTTTCCTATATTCCTCCAGGCCCCAGTGCTTCAAACACCAGGCCTGCGGAGCTCACTGTCAGGCAACTCAAAATAAGAAAACGCAGGCTGGGCGTTCGCACCTCTAATCCCAGCACTTTGGGAGGCTGAGGCAGGAGGATCCCTTGAGGTCAGGAGTTTGAAACCAGCCTGGCCAACATGGTGAAACCCCCATCCCTACTGAAAATACAAAAAAAAACTTAGCTGGGTATGGTGGCAGGCACCTGTAGTCCCAGCTACTAGGGAGGCTAAGGCACGAGAATAACTTGAACCTGGGATCCAGCCTGGGTGATACAGCAAGATTCTGTCTCAAAAAAAAAAAAAAAAGGAAAAAGCAGAGCTCCCGGCAGCAGCCTGAGGACCACGATCCAATTTACAGTGGGTCTGGGACTCCAGCTCCAGTGCTAGCTGGCTGTGTGGCCTTGGGCAAGCCCCTCACCCTCTCTGGGCCCTGTGCGATGAGAGGATTAGACCAGCTGGTCTCTGAGGGATGCTTAGGCCCATGTTAGTCCTGACTAGCTGGTCTCTGAGGCCCAGGTTTTGCATTCTAACATGCACACAGGCACTCAGGCAGCCAGCCTTCCCCAGTTAAATGCAAAGACCAGCTCCAAACTATTCTTAGTGTCCCAGAAGCAACCCCAGAAACTCAGAGACCAACATGCCCCTCCGCCTGCTCACCAGCCCACACCCAGCCCAGCCTGGGTTCAAGTTCCCGCCCCTAACTGAGGACTCTTCCCACTTCCCCCAAGCTTCCTCCCCTGGCTGAGGTCTCCCACCAGGGCCGGCACGTTCCCAGCCCTGGCCAAGAGCTCCTGCCAGGACCCCAGCCTTCCTGCCAGGACCTCCACAATCTTGACCCGCTCACCTTGAGGCAGGTGCCACCCTGGGCCCGCTGCAGCTGAACCTCCAGCAGAGCCTTGGTGCCCTCCAGGCTGGTGAGCGTTGTCAGCAGCTCATCCCGCTCCGCCTCCAGGCCCCGCACCTGCTTGCGGTACTGGTCCTTCTCGATGAGGCTCTGTGAGTACTGCAACTGGATCCGGTCACGGCTCTGGATGGCCTAGGGTTGGGGGAGGGGAGGCAGCAGCTGAAGGAGCCACCTTGGCCCAGCTTTCCTGGCCTATGACTTGGAGAATGGGGACAGTAAGGAGAATGGCAGCTATCACTTACTGAGCACTGTGTGCCGGGCCCTGAGCTAAATTATCAGCTCATTTAAATATCTTCACACTAACTGGCTAAGTTAGATACTATTAATATCATTATTCTCATTCTGCAGACTGGGGAAACCAAGCCAGGAGCGACAGAGCTGGGATTCAAATCGGGCAGTCCATCTGCAGAATCCAGGCTCTCACCATTTCACCAAGAACTGAAAACTTTTCCACGAGACCTGCTGTGTGCCAGGGGCTTCACTCCCAGCATCCCAGTCAGTGGAGAAGCCAGGAGTCAAACCCAGCCCACTGCATCCACAGTGAAGACCAGGGGCTCCAGAGCTGGGCCCATGGTCCAGACCTGTCACCCATGCCTCAGAGAGAGCCGGGGGCAGCCCCATAAAATGCAGATTCCTGGGGCCCACCCCAGACCACCTGAATCAGAACGTCCAGAGAATGAAGCCCCAAATTTGCACTTTCAAGCTTGCCAGGGGATTCTGAGGGCATTTCTAATATGCAGACTTCGGCTGGGCATGGGAGCTCATGCCTTTGATCCCAGCACTTTGGGAGGCTGAGGCAGGTGGATCAGTTGAGCCCAGGAGTTCAAGACCAGCCTGGTCAATATAGTGAAACCCTGTCTCTACTAAAGATACAAAAATTAGCCAGGAATGGTGGCATGCCTGTAATACCAGCTACTTGGGAGGCTGAGGCAGGAGAATCACTTGAATCTGGGAGGCCTCAGTGAGCTGAGATTGCACCACTGCACTCCAACCTGGGCAACAGAGCTAGATTCAGTCTCAAAAAGTAATAACAACAATAATATACAGACTTCAACTCCTCTAGTGGGATTCACACCTGGTTAAGGACAAAAACCTCCTGCCCTTCCCCGCTGCAGATGGAACCTCACACAAGGAGGCTCGGGGGCCTGGTGGCACTGGCCGGAGGTCCTCAGCCCACCCCACAACCTTGGCAGGAGACAAGGGTCATAGTGCCCAGGGACTGAAAGCCAAAACTTTTGAGAATTTCTTCATCGGCTTCTATTTGTAAGCACTCCCTCTGTGCTGGCCTTGTCTTTGAGATGGACAGAACAAGGGATTCAAAAATGAAGACACCAGGACCAGCTTCTGTAACTGCCACAGGAGCTCAGATGAGGCCAGTGGGTCCAGGGTGTAAGGCTGGTATCTCAAGGGCTCCAGGTCTCCTGTCTGGTTCCCCCAGCCTTTGTGCCCCGTCCTAACCCAACAGGGAGCGGCTAACGTCTCTTTCTACCATTCTAGTCCCCTCCATTGCTCCTTGTCTCCTCCCATATGGGAAGCAGCAACTGGCCCAGGGCCTCGTACACGCAGGCTGGGCTCACCTGGTCTCGCTCCTTCTCAATCTCCTCCAGTTGGGCCAGGACAGTGGCCATGCGGTGCTTGTACAGGTCACAGTCCTTCTGCAGCGTGCGGTGCTTGAGCCGCAGGTCTTCCATCTCCTGCAGGTACTGAGGGTGGCACGGGGCGGGGTCAGACCACAGGGCTGGGGACCATGAGAAAGCTAACCAGCAGGTGCCCAGGAGGGCCAGTGAGAGACGCTCACCAACAGTCTGAGACCCAATAACAAGTCCCCTCCTGCCCAGTGGAGTGGTCTGAGCCACTGACTTTACCTCACAGGCCCTCAACTGCCTAATCTGTAAAACGAGAAGAATGATCATCATTTCACCCATCCGGCCACCCTTGGCCTCCCCACTCAAACTGCAACCGGCCCCTTCCCCAGCTCTGCATCTCCCACGGTGCTCATCGCCTTTGACTACATGAAATAGCTGACGTGGGACTGTGTATCTCACATACTGCCAGTCTCCCCTGCTGGAGTTCCCCCTCAAGGAAAAGGCACCTTTGTTTTGCTCACTGCGGCATCTCAAGCGCCTAGAAGGGTGCCTCCGTCAACATCTGAGAACAAATGAATGCAGTTCTCAGCGCGGCGCCTGCGTCAAGCAGATGCTCAGGGAAGGCGTGAGCACACAGGCCCTGCCTGACACCCTCCCGCACAAGGGGCAGGGCACGGGCAGGGCCCCACCTGGTCGCGCAGCTCCTCGGCCCACTGCAGCTCCCCCTGCACGGCATGCAGCTTCTGGCACAGCTCCTGCCTGCTGTCCTGCGCCTCCCGCCAGTCATGCTCTAGGATGTCCAGCAGGATGCGCTCGGAGCCCGGGGCCCCCGGCCGGCTCGCCTCCTGGGGATCACAGGGCAGGGCCACCTCAGGGTCTGGCTAGGGGCCCACCCTGGGTGTGGGAAGGAAGGGGACACGCAGCTCTCAGCCCTCCAAACCCACCTGACCAGCTCTGCCATGCTGGCCCGGGGCCTCGACCCTCTCTGGATCTCTGTCTCCCCATCGGCAGAGTGGGTGTGGCCCCACAAGCCCTACCCACCCTCCAGGGAGTATCTGGGGTACAAGTAAGCTAATAAGCTAAGTGGAGAAGGGTGTGACTGGACAAGTTCACCCAGGATTATTCCTAAACAAGCACCAGGCACACACTCGTGCTCTGGCCCTCACCCACCATCCAGGGCAGCAGACGGAGGCCATTCCCAAGACCTACTCCCACCCCCATGACTAGGGGTCTTCAAGGGGCTGAGCCTGGCCCATACAGGTAGACCCTGGGCCCAAGATCTTGCCCCCAGACCCACACCCCAGCCAAGTGCCCCAACCCCATGAAACACACTGGCTCTCATCCCCCACTTCCTGTGTGGAACAATGGCCAGGAGGCAGGCCCATGCAGCTGCTGACCTGCCACTGACCTGCCGCAGGACACTAAGCAAGCCCTAGGGCCCCCAGGCCACACCCTCTACAAATCAAATTAAAGCTGGGGCCCTTTCCCCAGAAAAATGCTCACACTCAAAATCAGGGGGGCAGTTTTAGGGAGTTTGAGGACCTTCTGGAGGCTGCTCACACACCCTAGACCAGACAACCAGGGACAGCCACGTGCTAAGGGCCCTCAGCTCAGAGCTTCAGGCAAGAGGCTACCGGGACTCCATCCAGATCTCAGATCCCTGGTTCTGAAATCCTCAGCTTCCCAGGCCTTGGGAGGATAAGCAAACAGCAAGAGGGCCTGTTTTCCGGGTCTGACCCCCACCCCCACTCCATGTCCACGAGCCCTGGCCCTAGTACCTGCTGCAGGCCCTCCTGACCTCCCCGCAGCCTGTGCCCATGAACGCTGGCCCTGGTACCTGCTGCAGGCCCTCCTGACCCCCCCTCAACCCCCATGGCCACGAGGCCCAGCCCTGGTACCTGCTGCAGGTCCTTCTGACCTCCCCCGACCCCCATGCCCATGGGCCCCAGCCCTGGTACCTGCTGCAGGCCCTCCTGACCTCCTGCCAGCCTGTGCCCACAAGCCCCAGCCCTGGTACCTACCGCAGGCCCTCCTGACCACCCCCCACCCCCGTGCCCATGGGCCCCAGCCCTGGTACCTGCTGCAGGCCCTCCTGACCTCCTGCCAGCCTGTGCCCACAAGCCCCAGCCCTGGTACCTACCGCAGGCCCTCCTGACCACCCCCCACCCCCGTGCCCATGGGCCCCAGCCCTGGTACCTGCTGCAGGCCCTCCTGAGCCCCGCTACCCAGCCTGTGCCCAGAAGCCCTGGCCCTGCTACCTGCTGCAGGCCTTCCTGATCCCCCACCCCGCAGCCTGTGCCCACAAGCCCCAGTACCTGCTGCAGGCCCTCCTGACCACCCCCCAGCCTGTGCCCACAAGCCCTGGCCCTGGTACCTGCTGCAGGCCCTCCTGCAACTCCCGCAGTGACGCCGTCAGCCGCTGGTTCTCAGCACGCAGCTCAGAGACAAGGTCCACATTGTCTGGCTCCTTCTCCTTCTCCTTCTCCTTCTCCTTCTCCTCTGCCCCAGGGGGCGGGCCCCTGGCCCTTCGAAGCAGTGCACACTCTTCCTCCAGCCGACTCACTTTGAGCTTGAGCTGATCCACCTGGAGCCCAAGACATGGGTCAGCCCAGAGGGAGACACACTGGGAGCCACGGGTTACAGGGGTGGGAAGACCTGCTCCCTCACTCCTGGGTGCCTCCCAGATTCCCAGAGAAGCCGAAGCAGGAGTCCTCCCCAGGCTTGTCTATGAAAACAGGACAGGCTGGACAGATATAAAACAAACAGGGCTGAGGAAGGAGCAGTGGGTAGCAAGGCCAAGGACACCCTCCCAGGGGAATCCACTCTAAGAACTTGTGGGCGGACATGCTGCATCACGACACGCTGTCTGTCCCGCACTTCTGACACTGACTCCCGTCAATTTAGCCCAGTATTCTCATGGCAGAAAAGGAGGAGGGCCGCATCAAGAAGAAGTGGGGCCAGGCACAGTGGCTCACGCCTGTAATCCCAGCACTTTGGGAGGCTGAGGCGGGCCCTCAGTGGATCACCTGAGGTCAGGAGTTTGAGACCAGCCTGACCAACATGGTGAAACCCCGTCTCTACTAAAAATACAAAAATGAGCTGGGCGTGGTGGCACATGCCTGTAGTCCCAGCTACTAGGGAGATTGAGGCACGAGAATCATTTGAACCCAGGAGATGGAGGTTACAGTGAGCCAAGATTGCGCCGCTACACTCCAGCCTGGGCAGCAGAGCAAGACTCTGTCTCAAAAAAAAAAAAAAAAAAAAGAATAAGGGAAACCAGGCCTAACACTTTAGAAGGCCGAGGCGGGCAGATGGAGACTAGCCTAGTTAACACAGTGAGACCTCGTCTCGACAAAAAAAATTTAAAACATTAGTTGGGTGTGGTGGTGCGCGCCTATTATCCCAGCTACTCAGGAGGCTGAAGCGGGAGAATCACTTGAGCTTTGGGAGGTTGAGGCTGCAGTGAACCATAATCGTGCCACTGCACTCCAGCCTGGGCAACAGAGCGAGACCCTGTCTCAAAAAAAAAAAAAAAAAAAAGAAGAAGAAGGAGAAGGGGGTGAGGAGGAGGAGGGGAGGAGGAGGGAGGGGGAAGAGGTAGAAGGAGAAGGAGGAGGAGGAGAAGGAGAAGGAGGAGGCGGGAGGAGGGCAGAGTGGGAGGAGGAAAGAAGGAAGAAGGAAGAAAGAAGAAAGAAAGAAGGAGAAAAAAAAAAAAAACAGGGTCAGACCCCAGCTCCGTCTCTAGCTCAGTGTGACCCTGGGCAAGTCATGGCCCCTCTCTGTGCCTCAATCATCTCATCTGTACGGGGGGGGTGTGAGGGGAGAGGAGAGGGCAATGGTTTTGAGAGTTGAGGGACTCATCCAGTCCGGGAACCAGATGCTCCCCGCAACAAGCCAACATCTCACCTCAACACACTCTCAGAGACTCAGACTTGGTCTGGTCCACCCTGAAAGGAATTCCTAACAAAGCCTCCACTCCAGAAGATTTGGCTGTTGGTTCATCTCCCTCAAGAGCTCCAGTTCCAGGGTTCAGGTTTCAATTTTGCTACTTCTAGGCTCTGTCATCCTGAGCAAGTCACTTACCTCCTCTGGGCCTCAGTTTCCTCATCAGTAAAATGGGCCCAGTCAATCCCCTGGCCCCATCATTTGCCTCCCAAAGGTGTTGCAAGAATCAAACAAGACAGCAAGTGGGCAGAGGCCTCTAAACTATGAAGGGCTACAGAGCTGCCACAGTGTGACCGTGGCTGTCTTCACAGCTTCAAACAAAATCCCATGCCCCTAACCAATCACCAGTTCGGAGTGTGCAGCCAGAAGTTGGCCTGGTATGGGGGGTGGGCAGCTGTGGTGTGACCACCAAGCTGGGAGCAGACGTGCATGGCCAGTTTGCTGGACTATGAGTGCACTCAGCCAAGCGTGACGCATGTGGGGTCTGAGGTGGCCAGACAGTGACAAGAGTGGCAGCAGGTGGCAGGCCATAAAATGAAGTCATTGTTGGGAAAAGGTCACAATGACTTCTGGTGCTACAGTCAGGCATGCAATATTTGGTGCCCTAGGAGTCCCCTGGCCTCTCTTGGAAAGTGACTTGCTAGTTCCCCAGCCTTGAGAGGTTAGAATGGCAGCCCCCCCTCCACACACACACACACACACACACACACACACACACACACACACACACACACACACGGGTCTGGAGGCTGGGTCAGGCAATTCTACAAATTAACAGTCCACTCCTCCTCCTCCGCAAGAGACTCAGAAAGAAATTCATGACTCCCGCATTCCTTTCCACTCACAAAACATGCTTTGTGAACAGCCAGAGAAAGACAGCTCGTTACAAGGACAACTGTGGTCACACCCTCTCAGCAAACCGCAGCCACACACCAGGGCCTCCTGCCTGACCCCTGGCCAGCCGGCTTCCCTGATGAGCTCAGAGGACAGGACACCTGGGAGTCTCCGACGAGCAACAGGAAATACGGATGCATTTAATCCCGGCGTACAAACTCACTGAGCACAAAATTATAGCGTTCGTTCCTTCAGTTTATGTTGCTTAGAAATAACAGCTCATTAAATTTGCACCTTATAAAACAGGGTATTAAATCCCAGCCGCCACACACCTGCCTATGGGAGGTGGGGATGCAAGCCGCCAAGCCAGGCACGATCAGGTGCTCTGTTCAGATCCATCTGCAACACCTTTGTTAATTTTGGAGCAGAAAAGCTCCAAACATAAATTATAAATTAAGGTAAATTTATAGTAGCTAAGTTTAATTTCACTTCTTTTTTTGTTGTTGTTTTTTGAGACAGAGTCTCGCTGTGTCGCCCAAGCTGGAGTGCAGTGGCTCAATCTTGACTCACTGCAACCTCCACCTCCCGGGTTCAAGCAATTCTCCTGCCTCAGCCTCCCGAGTCCCTGAGACCACAGGTGCATGCCACCACGCCCGGCTAATTTTTTGTATTTTTAGTACAGACGGGGTTTCACCACGTTAGCCGGGATGGTCTCAATCTTCTGACCTCATGATCCACCCGCCTCAGCCTCCCAAAGTGCTGGGATTACAGGCATGAGCCACTGCGCCTGGCCAATTTCACTTCTTAGGTCCCTAAAATAGGAAAAAGCAGCCACTCTGCGTAGAGGCAGATGACCTGCAGACTACAGAGGCACCTCCGACCATCTCTTTTCCATCCCCCTCCCCTGTCCCAGCAGCCCCCAGATGGCCACACACGCAGGACATCTCCCAATCGCATCACACCCAACCCAAAGGTGGGACAAGCCGTGAGGGCTGCAGCCCCTCCCAGTACCCCCAGCCTGCAGCCCTCACGCCGTCCTCTCTAAGCAGTAAATTATTTCTTCTGAGAAAACCCTACAGCAAGCCCCATGTCTGTTTCAGAAAAAAGGGGAAGCCCTCTGGGTAAAGAAAGGGGAGCACTCCTACCTGCCAGCCACCGCCCCTCAGCAGTGCTGAGAGCCAACTCAGAAATCCTTCAATCCGGCTGAACACAGTGGCTCATGCCTGTAATCCAGCACTTTGGGAGGCTGAGGCGGGCAGATCGCCTGAGGTCAGGAGTTTGACACCAGCCTGGCTAACATGGTGAAACCCCATCTCTACTAAAAATACAAAAAAAAAATTAGCCAGGCATGGTGGCACACACCTGTAATCCCAGCTACTCAGGAGGCTGAGGCAGGAGAATCGCTTGAACGTGGGAGGCAGAGGTTGCAGTGAGCAAAGATCTCACCACTGCACTCAAGCCTGGGTAACAAAGCAAGACTCCATCTCAAAAAAAAAAAAAAAAAAATTCCTTCAATCCCAGGACATTGGGAAAGTGCTCTAACCAACTTCTCTGTGCCTCAGTTTCCTCCTCTAGAAATGGGGAAGATAGTGTTGTCCACCCCAGCGTAGGGTGGCTGGAAAATTAAAGGGGTCTGTGCATGGCAAGCACTGAGGATGGTATCTATAAAGCACAAGGCCGTTTTATAATTGTTACATCATCCTTATCTGTGATGAGGATGAGGAAACTGAGGCACAGAAAGGAAAGCCTTCCCCATGCCACATGGTTTTTCACAGTAGAGCAGGCCTGGGACATGTCCCTGTCCCTGCCCATCACTCCTCAGAAAGCCTCCGTCTCCTGCCACACACCAACCAGGCCCTCGAACGATAGCCTCAAGGTCATCTCACAACCTCAAACCAGCCACCTACATCCTCAAGCAGGACCAGCAGCCTGGACCCTTCAACTGGTGGCCTCAACACCCCCATCAGGGCTCACCTCCCCAAGATATCGACCCACCTGGCGTGCACAAACCGAGGACTGGCACACCAGTGCACCCACATCTACAGCCTCACAGCCACCTGCAATGCTGTAGCCACGGCCCAAGGCTCCTGGGGTAGGGAGGCTTCAAACTCCACGGTCAGAACCCACTGTGCAGCCTCGAGCAACATGGCTGGAGAGAGCCTCCTGCGTGCCGTGCGGCCTGCACTGCTAAGCCCTTGACGTGGATCAGCTCATTAAATCCTTGGAACAACGCCCTGTGGCAGTCAAATACTGGTATTATCCCCCTGCTGAGTCCCAGTCAGAAACCAAGAAAGTGAGATGCAGTAGGAGGCACAGCCTCACTTGCTGCTGGAGGGAGTCAGGTGAGACTTCCCCACACAGGGAGTAGGCGGAACAGCAGCGTGGGAAGGGGGCTGGCACTGGAGCCAGCCGGACCCGGTTCAAATCCAGGCTGTGCCGCTTCCTGGCTCTGTGACCTTGAGCAAGTCCTTTCACTAATCTGAGTCTCAGAGTCTGTATTTGCAAATGAGGGCTTGGCGTATGGTGCTTTGGTGAGGATTAGAAGACATGATGTTTAACCTATGTGTCTCTTGATAATAATATCAACAATGGCTACTGATGACACAAGTTGTGAGCAGTGTGCTAGGGACTGTACATGTTTGAAACTGTGTCTTAAACTCACCGGGCCAGGTACGGTGGCTCACGCCTGTAATCCCAGCACTTTGGGAGGCCGAGGCGGGCAGATCACCTGAGGTCAGGAGTTCGAGACCAGCCGGGTCAACATGGTGAAACCCCATCTCTACTAAAAATACAAAAATTAGCTGGGTGTGGTGGCACGAGCCTGTAATCCCAGCTACCCGGGAAGCTGAGGCAGGAGAATCGCTGGAACCCGGGAGGCAGAGGCTGCAAGGAGCCGAGATCACACCACTGCACTCCAGCCTGGGCAACAAGGGTGAGACTCCATCTCAAAAAAAAAAAAAAAAAAAACAACTTATCAAATCCTCATAACCCAGTGTTTCTTGGCCCCGGCCCTACCGATGTTTTAGGCTAGGTAATTCTTTGCTGGGGACTGTCCTGTGCCCTGCAGGGCGTTTGACAGCATCCCTGGCCTCTACACACCAGATGCCAATAAATCCCCACTAATTGTGACAACCAGAAATATTTCCTAGACATGGCCAGATGTTTCTAGGGGGTCAGAATCACCCCCCATTGAGAACCACAGTCATAACCCAATGAAGTAGGTACACCGAGCACTAAAAGGACTTATCCACGTCAAAGAGCCAGCAATGGTGGCTCTGGGACACAGGCTGGCTGGCTACTACATTGCAAAAGCTGCCCCTTCCCTTGCCTCCCCGACCCATCTCCCCAGGGCCTACCGCCAGCTGCAGGTCACGGCTGCGAAGTACAGCCGAGTTCTTCTCCTCACTGAGCTGTGCCAGGCGCATGGCGATCATGTAGTTCTCATCCTTGAGCCGCAGCAGCTCCAGGCTGCCCGCCTCCCAGTCCTCCCGCAGCCGTTGACAGCGCTCCTGAGCCTGCTGCTGGTCCCGCAGCCGCTGCTCCAGCCCTGCCCGCTCCTCCTCGAGCACCCGGCCCCGGGCCTGCAGTTGCTGCTCCCGCTGCAGCTGGCTCTTGCGAGCTTCCCGCAGCCGTCGCACCTCTGTCATCAAGAATTGGGTCAGGCCCTCAGGCCCCTCCTCATCTGCCAGGACAGAACAGGGGACAGAATAGGCAGCTCAGGCAAGTAAAATCCAGGAGATAACATACTGTGTCAAAAAACTCAAACCATAAAAACACTAGAGGGAAATTCTGGAATATATTTGTAGAATTGGGAGCAGGGGAGGTCTTCCTAAACAACACACAAAATCCAGGAGTTATAAGAGAAAAAAGATGGACAAATCCATATAAAAATGTTTAAACCTTTGAAAAATGAAAGATGTAACAAAGTTAATAAGCAACAGAGTGGGAGAAAATATAACAAGAACTCAGAGCCGTAATATATAAAGAGCTCCTACAAATCAATAAGATCAACAACCAAATAAAAATATGGACAAAAACTATCAATAGGCAAGTCCCAAAATAAAAATAGTTAATAAATACAGGAAAATATGCACCAACCTATCAACAATAATTACAGTAGCTACTAATATTTGTTAACTTCATTCTTTGTGCTAGATATATCTTAATCTTTATGACAACACTGTAAGGTAGGTACTATTATTGTACCCATCTTAAAGACAGAAAAACTGAAGCACAGAGCAGTTATTTACCCAAGGTTTAATAACTAGTAACCTGTGAACTGTATCACTCAATGAAATATAAACTTAAAACAATAACATTATTTTTTACATATCAGAATGGTAAAAACGTTTAAACATGATCCCCAGGATTCAAATGGGCCCTTACACATTCCTGGTAGGAGGTATGTTGATTTAACAGTTAAAATACACAGACTCTTTGAGAAATTCTTCTCAGAACCTCTTCGCCTGAGACACATTTGCACAAAGACGCACATACAAGGATGTTCCCGTATCGTTGTAATAATACAAAACTGGAAACCTAGGTATCCATCAACTGGAAATGGGTTAAATGAATTATGTCCTAACTTCACTAATGAACAGTATGCAGTCACTTAAAACAAGTGTATGTAACAGAGGTGAAAGAATCACTAAAATCAGTTGTTCTAAGAAAAAGCAAAATACACACGTAGGCGTGTGTGCGTGTGTGTATGTGTTTGTGTTTTTTATATAAAAAAATTCAGCTAGGCGCAGTGGCTCACGCCTGTAATCCCAGCACTCTGGGAGGCCGAGGCAGGCGGATCACAAGGTCAGGAAATCAAGACCATCCTGGCCAACATGATGAAACCCCATCTCTATTAAAAATAAAAATACAAAAATTAGCAGGGCGTGGTGGCCCATGCCTGTAATCCCAGCTACTCGGGAGGCTGAGGCAGGAGAATCGCTTGAACCTGGGAGGCGGAGGTTGCAGTGAGCTGAGATCGCGCCACTGCACTCCAGCCTGGTGACAGAGCAAGACACTGTCTCAAAAAAAAAAAAATTCAAAGTCACCTGGAGCCTCTGTATTTTTTTACATAAAAAACTATACATCTGTGTATGTCAGACATATGTCTGAAAACAGTATCACGAAGAAAGAGCCATCTTAAGCATGTGGCTCTGAACTTGGAATAACGGCACTAGCACCCAGCCCCACCCTCAGCCTACCGTGGGGCCCTGGGCAAGCCCCTTCAGCCTCTCCATGCCTCAGTTTCCCTTACTGTTCAACAGGCATAGTGGGAGCGCCTCCCTAACAGGGATGGGGAAAGGAGCCTGTGCACTGGAGTCCGAGGTGCCAGCATCCACCGCAGATCCACTCACCGAGGATCATGGAGCAGCGCTGGGCGGGTTCCTGGCCCGTGAGCAGCGTGAAGTGTTCGGGGTAGTAGAACTCCAGGGCTTCCAGGAAGGCCTCATAGCCCCTCTTGCCACGGCAGCGCAAGATGTCCATCAGGCGCCCTACAGAGTAGTGGGGGGATGTACCCAGGGTCTAGGGGAAGGCCTCCCCAGGTGCCTGGTTGCTTCTGCCCCCACCATGCTCCAGGCCCACGTTCCCCAGATTTTTGAGCCAGTGACACACACAGGGGCCTGTCCCAACACATCAGGGAAGAGAAGAGAGCCATTCTGCCACAGCCAGGGGAGCACATTCCCTCATGACTCCTGGGCTCCCAGAGCTCCCCAACACCCCCCACAGACACAGATGCCGGCCCGCAAATGCAGCCTGCCTTTTCAATGGCACAGAGAAGCCCCCTCTATCCCCAGAAGCAAAGAAAATACTTCTCCCATTGGCCATGCCTGAAATTCCACCATTAAAGACCATTCCATCATGCCTTTTTGAGTTCTGGTTCAAAGGCACACCCTGTGGGAGTGGGGACCCACGTAAAGCTGAGACGGATCTTGACACTTGAAAAAGGACTCCCCCAGGAGTGTATGGTGCACAGAGGAGGGGACAGACAGAACTCGGAGATCAAAGAGCGCAGGAAAGGTGCCAAGTCCACCGGCTGTGACCGGGAGGTCCCAGGCCCAGCCGGCCCTGGCAGCCACATCCAACCTTCTGCTCTAATGTGGACCCAGGAAGTGGGAGAGAACCCCAAGAGACAAAACTCTGACCCCGGTGTGGGCAACGCGGACCGCCAAGGCGCAGTGGTGGGTGGGGAGGAGGCAGGCTGGTGGGCATACCCAGCCGGCCCACTCTACTGATGCGGAGACCGAGCCCCAGGGCAGCAGAGCCCTAGCTTCGCGCTACACGGCTGTGGGCGCTGCGCCCCAGGGCACGGCCGGCCCAGGTCGTGGCCCACTCGGGACCCGCGGCTCACCGGTGCGGTTGACGCGGCACGGGAAGCGGTAGGTGCTCAGCACCTCCTCCTCGTCCTGCTCGTCGATGACCCGGCACTGGCGCAGATACGGCGTGAGCTTGGCCGGGTTCAGGGCGCGAGCCAGCCGATGCCGGACGCCCTCGATTCGCTCCCACAGCGCGTCCTCCTCCGCCTCAGACCCCGAGCCGGCCCCGGCCTCCTCCTCGGCCTCCCCCGCCTCCGCCCGGCCCGGCATGGCCGTGTCCTCAGGGTCTGCGGGCAAGAGGCGCACGGGGGTCGACCAGGGCTCCCTAGGGCTAGATGTGCGGCCAAGCACCCCCGGGGCGTCGTCCGCAGACCCGCCGTCGGGGGCGCGCCCCGAGCTCCCCGCGACTCACCCCGCACGCTACAGTCGCCTCGGGCTCCCGGGTCCGCACTCGGGCGGCGGCTCCGCCGGCGCAGGGGGGCGGTGCCCGTGGCGCCCCCGGCTCCGCCCCCGTCCCCGCAGCCTCCTGGGCTGCCCGGGCCTCCCCACATTGCCGCCCGCCCCGGGTCGTGCGTCCGGCCCCCGGCCACCCCGCGCGTCCGTCTGCACGCCCTCCCTCCCGGCCGTCCGGCTGCGCCTCCCCCTGCTTCCTGTTTCCCGCCGGCTCTCCAGCCCGGCTCGGCGGGGTCCTGGCCGCCCGCCCACACCTGCCCGGCCTCTGGGCGGGGCGGGGGCGGGCAGGCGCGCTCACACCCCCCGCGCGCCGCGACACACCTTCCCCGGGCCACGCGCATCGCCTCCCCACGCCCACAGCGCGCCCGCCCGTGCGGGGCTAGCCGCTCACGCCCGGCGCAGCCCGCGGGCACTCAAGCTGGGCTTGCCCTTCTCGGGTCCCCACATGCACTGCGGGCGCGGGAGCTTCCCTGGAGCGCAGGACAGCCCCGCGGGGGACAGCAATGGGCAGAGGTCATGGGGGCTTTCTGCAAGATGGGGGTCTGAACCTGCAGGGCAGCACTGCCAACTCCCCTCTTACGCAAACTCCCGTGGCACTTGAGGACCAGGGACCCCACAATTCTCAAAGGGTATTCCTCCAGGTGTTGGTCCCAGAGATGCTGGGGGCGGGCTGTGACTAGCCATCCATACTCCCGCTCCTGCCTGGGAGGCCGGTGGTGTCTTACCATGATACTGGCCGAGTCTACACGGTATCTGCTGGTGCATGCGATACAGTCTCGCTATGCATTAGAAGCTGCCAGGTACCTGCTGCCAGGGAGGAACAGAGGAGGCACAACCGGTACAGGAAAGAGGTGTGAGCTCCCTAATCGCCTTCCACAACTTCTGAATTAGATGCCGTGGACATATGTATTACTTATCCAAAGAATTAAGGTTTCAATCAATAAAGGCTCTGAAAAGCCCTGCTTAAATTAAGGCCGGGGGCGGTGGCTCATGCCTGGAATCCCGACACTTTGGGAGACCGAGGCGAGTGGATCACCTGAGGTCAGGAGTTCGAGACCAGCCTGACCAATATGGCGAAACCCCATCTCTACTAAAAATATAAAAATTAGCTAGACGTGGTAGTGCGCGTCTGTAATCCCAGCTACTCGGGAGGCTGAGGCACGAGAATCGCTTGAACCCAGGAGGCGGAGGTTGCAGTGATATCGTGCCACTGCACTCCAGCAGCCCGGGCAACAGAATGAGACTCCCCCTCAAAAAAAAAAAAAAAAAAAAAAAAAGCCCCAGCAGTAAAGAAACAGATTTAACTTTATATATCCTGGTGTCCTTTTCCAAACTTAATTAACCACAGCCTTTTTTTGGTTTGCATTTGTTGTACATTTGTTTTTGTTTTGGGTGTCACCTGTTTACATGCAGAAGAAATGCTTTGGGAGAACTGAATTCTAGTGCAAATTCCTCAATTAACAAAGGAGGAAGCAGAGCTCAGAGAGGGCAAGGAACTTGCCCAAATTCACACAGCGAGGCCACAATGGGAATAGGCCGGAGCCCAGCCCCTGGCCTCTGTCCTCTCCAAGCCCCGAGTCCAGGCACACACCAGACCTCCCTTTCAATACGTCCTTCCCCTCTCTGTGGCCTTGGTTGCCCTCCCACGCAGAGCGGCAGCTCCTCCCACCAGCAGCCCTACTCCTCGTGAATATTTTTAACTTGGCCAGCAGAGCGGGATGGACGCCTTGGAAAATGAGGCTATGGTTAATTATTTTTTCATCGAGAAGCTAAGCAGGGCCTAAAGATAAGGCACAGAAGCCAAGAGGTCTCTGCAGATAAGTGGACAGAGAAGTGAGGGCACACTGGGTCTGAACAGGCAGGTAGCTGGGTACACCGAGTGCCCCTGGTGCCCAGCATTCCAGGGGAAGCGACAGAGTTCCTTTGGGTACCACACTCCCACATTCACATGTACAATTATACAGGCATGCACACGCACCATCACATACACATGCACACATACACACCCACCCACTGTGGGCATCAAGCCAGGCAGGAGGCAGACAGGGGCGTACCCACTTCCCCACAAACATCTGAGCCTCCTCATCTTTCCCCTGTCCCCGGGCGTCCATAGCACCGAGTGTGCAAGCGTGTGATTAGGTACCATGTTCATTATTGTCCTCTTGTGAGTTCTGCTACATTCATCTTCTCTCTATAGCTATGCCAGGAAGGCGGGCAGGGACTACAGCAGGGACACCGAGAATCTAGACTTTGTACCAGGGGCCCTGGGTTCTATCGCGGGCTCACCGCTATGAGTATTGTTCTTCTTTGAGTCTCCATTTCCCTGTCTGCAAAAGGCAGGCGGTGAGTAGTCCCAGCCACACCTACAAAGGCAGACAGTCCAGGAGTGGAGGGTGCCCTGGAGACCAACATTCAGCCTTAGCTGCATCTACTCGGACAAATTCCTCCCCCTCTCAACTTCTACATCTGAAAAGTGGACAATAGTCCCCCATGTGCAGGGACTGCCTCTGAGTTGCAGTCTCTCCATATGTGAAGTGGGTACAGGAATGTCAGTCCTCTTCCCAACTCATCAAAAGGCATGCCTCCATGTTTCAAACCAGTCTGCGTCCTACTGCCTGTAGCCCCACTGGTCCAAGCCACACATGCCCCCACAAACTCCCACCCACAGTGCTATGGGCTATGGTATGTTCTCCACTCTGCAGCCTTAATGATGTTTGTTTGGTTTGGGAGGTTTTTCTTAGACAAGGTCTGGCTCTGTCACCCAGCCTAGGGTGCAGCGGCCCAATCATAGCTCACTGCAGCCTTGAACTCCTGGGCTCAAGCAATCCTTCTGCCTCAGCCTCCCACATAGCTGGGACTGCACATATGCACCACCATGCCCGGCTACTTTTTTTACCCTTGGTAGAGAGGGGTCTTGCCACGTTGCCTAAGCTGGAAAGAATGATGGTTTTAAAAACATAACAGGTTTTTCTCTGGCTTAAAACCTCTTAATGGTTTCCACCAAACTGGAATAAAATGCAAACTGCCCCCAGACCCTGCTGGCTCCCCCGCCTCCCACTTCCCACTGCCCCACTCGCTCACTAGTCTCATTCTGTTCTTGGAACCTGTCAGCTTCTTCCACATCAAGGCCCTTGTCCACCCTGTTGCCTCTGCTGGGACTGCTCATCCCTCCACTCCTGGTACGGAGGGTTCCTTCTAGCTTTTCAGGTCTCAGATCAAATTCCCCCTCCCTTGATTCAGGAGCACCCTCCAGCAGGGAGTTCCATACACCCCATCCAAGCAATTCTGTGCTACGTAGGGGCCAAAGGACAGCTTCTCCTTCTCCCTCTAGAGGTTTGCCGGAAATGCACTGACAATAGGCAGATAAATAGAAGAAAAAAAGCATAAAAAATGTATTTAACATGCCTAGCACAGGGGAATCATAGGAGAATGATTACCCAGTTATCCATTGAGGTCCAGATGTTTATATCCGCTTCTTCGCTGGGGAAGGGGAGACGGGGCTGTAGGAGTGAATGACTGTTAGGAGGCATTAATGGGCCTGGGAGGCAGACATTATCTTACAGATGATTTTCTTTGGAAATTGAGTGGGACCGAAGAAGAAACACTCATTTGGGACAAAGTTTGTCTGGACTCTAGATGTGGTGTTTAATTTTCTCTTCCTCTGTGATATGAATTTTAATCTCCAGTTAATGAAATTTCAGGGAAGGGATCGAAAGCAATCGTGTTCCTCTTTGGGGTCCAGTTTCTAGCAGATAAGGGAACTTCGGAGAACAGCCTCCTCCTGTGCTTTGGGAGAGACAGAGGATTGACAGAGAGGATGGGGGAAAGGTTGGCAGAGAGACCTTGAGGTTGCGTCTTTATTCAGCCTATCAAAGCGCCTTATTTGGCAGGTATCACTTTCTGAGCCCCGAGAGCTATTTCCTCTCTATCTGACATTTTCCTGGTGCTTGCTTTGCTGCACCAGGAAAATGTCAGCAACCTGTTTGTTGCCTACTTCCATCCCAAGAACAGAGCCGTCCTTGGCTAGCAGGAGTGAGCTGGAATGTTCCAAGAGTGGTGAGGATGAGGAGTGGAGCAGGGGAGGAGAGGAGGTTGAAGGAGGATTGGAAGGGGGGCAGACAGAGCAAAGGCCTTGAAGATCATTATGAGGACTTTGGCCTTTACTTTTCTTGGTAGTAATACGCCGCTATCATTGTCTTCCACAAATCAGCCACAAAGGCCACAGAAGCAGGGATCCACCTTTTTGTTCATTCCTTCAAGGATGCCCCTGGCCCAAGCAACCCTTCCGTTCCTCTTTGTCAGCCTCTGATTGCATCCAGGAATGTGGGTCTGGAGTTATCTAGTCCATAAGTCTGGGTGCCTGGTGAATCTGTGCTCCCTGACCCCAACCCCCAGCCCCATCTCGCCTCCTCTGGCCATCTCTTCACTAGGATCAGGGCCTGGGCCGCATGGATCCCAGCACAGGACCTGGCAGTCAGGTGTTCAGCAGGAGACGAGTGAGTGGGCCCAAGAGTGGGGAGAATTCCTGTGATGAGCTGCACTACACCACAGCCAGAACGCCCAGGGTTCAAATTCCAGGACAATGTGTGCCTGTGATCTTGGTCAAGTTCCTAAACGTTTCTCTACCCCTCATCTGAGGGACTCTAGCACAGCCTGAGCACAAGACAGATGCTAAATGCCCATCCTCAATTGAATTCGTCCAGAGATGTCACTTCCCCTCCCCATTGCCCAGTGTCCCCCGGGGCACCTTTACATAGCAGCTTTCCCTAGGTCCTATTCTTTTTTTTTTTTTTTTAGATGGAGTCTTGCCCTGTCGCCCAGGCGGGAATGCTGCGGCATGATCTTGGCTCACTGCAACCTCCGATCCCTGAGTTCAAGCAATTCTCCTGCCTCAGCCACCCTAGTAGCTGGAATTACAGGCGCCTGCCACCACACCCACCTAATTTTTGTATTTTTAGTAGAGATGGGGTTCCACCATATTGGCCAGTCTGGTCTCGAACTCCTGACCTTGTGATCTGCCTGCCTCGGCCTCCCAAAGTGCTGGGATTACAAGCGTAAGCCACCGTGTCCGGCTCCCTAGGTCCTATTCTATGGGACTGGGGAGAGAAGGGGTTGGGGAGGCTATTGTGCCCAATCACAAGAGTCTAGGCTGAAAGGATCCTTAAGACCTTTATTTTATAGCTGGGCACGGTGGCTCACACCTGTAATCCCAGCACTTTGGGAAGCCAAGATGGGCAGATCACTTGAGGTCAGGAATTCGAGACCAGCCTGGCCAACATGGTGAAACCCCATCTCCACTAAAAATACAAAAATCAGCCAGATGTGGTGGCGGGCACCTGTAATCCCAGTTACTTGGGAGGCTGAGGCAGGAGAATCGCTTGAACCCGGGAGCCAAAGGTTGCAGTGAGCCAAGATGGTGCCACTGCATTCCAGCCTGGGCGACAGAGCGAGACTCTGTCTCAAAAAAAAAATTTTTTTATTATTTTGTATGTACTGGGGAAACTGAGGTTGCAGTGGCCCAAGCGAGCCCTGGGTTCCCCAAGGCAGGGAGAGCAGAGCACAAGGAAGCGAGATAGGAACAGCCAAAGGGATGGTGCTGGCCCTCCAGTATCAGGTGACTGCATCTCCCTGAGAACCGGGGACTCCTGCAGGGGCCAGAGGAAGGGTGGCCCTGTCCCCACCTTCCCTTTCTCCCATGGCCACCCCCAGCAGCCTTGACAGCAAGGAGTAGAAATGCTGACCCACCCTCACCCTAATTCAGACCAATTATGGAGATGTCTGCCTACTGCCTGGCCTTGGGCTGGGCAAGAAGCTGGGTTAGGCTGGGGATATCCAGGGATGGGGCAGGAAGCTGTGCCAGGAGGTGAGAGATGGGGCTGGGGCAGGCTGGGAAAAGACAGAGAAAACTGAAGCTGGGCTCCCCAGACCTGGCTCCCATCGCTGAGACTGTGCCATTCAGCCCCGTCCCTGCCCCTCTCTGTGCCTCAGTTTGCCCCTCTGCACCACAAGGTGGTTGGAGGGAGATGCTCACCCTGGCAAGCCCCCTGCACCTGAGAGGAGCTCCCAGGGGGCCACAGGACACAGCCAAGGGTGGCCATGGGAGCTCAAGCCACCCACCAGCATCTCCATGGAGGAACTCTGCCTGGGGCCCTGAATTCCAGTGTGCCTGTGGAATCACTGGGGCTGAGTCAGAGGAAAGGGCGGGCCAGGGGAGCCACGGCTCTGAGTCACTGGGGCTCCGCGGGCTGGCGTGCCTTCCTCTGCCGCCCACCCAACCACCCACTCAACCATGGAGTCCCAACCACGGAATCATCCTGACCTGGATTCAAATCCCAGATCAGTGAGGTCGTGAGGTCATGACCCTGGACAGGACCGATGTGTAGAGACAATCATGGTTGTGTCTGATTAAATGAATGACTTTATGTGAAGTGCTTGGCACAAAGTTGGCACTCAGTGACAAACACTTTGCTCAGTAGCAAACAGTTTTGAGCCCTTACTATGCACCCAACATATGACGTACCAGCATTTTCCAGGGTTAGCTCCTTAAATCTTCCTAATAAACCCAGGAGGTAAATCCTCCTATTCTCCCCACTTTTCAGATGATGGAACAAGTTTGGTGAGGTCCCACAGTGGGCACGTGTGGACCTGAAAGGGAATTATCACAGATGTTAAGTGTGGGATGAGGGCCTGCCTTGCCCCGCCCCTCACCCTGCAGCCCAGGTTGTGACATTCCCCCACCTGCCAGCACAGTCCCCTGCCAGTCTCTGTGCCCAGCCCTGTTTGTTGCCCTGAGGATCCAAATGAATGGACCAACCCAAGCACTGCTTTGAGGAAGCAGGTTCATACCCAACCACTTTAAGTTGCTGGCAGCGATGAGAGGAGGAAATCCTCGACTCTGCCCAGGGGCATCAAAAACTAAAGCAGAAGAAGAGGCAAAAGAGGAAAGGTGCTCCAGGCAGGAGGAACGGTCAGTGCAAAGGCCCAGAGCCCAGAAGTCTCATGCCAGGCTCCCACAGGGATCCTTGTCCTTCGCTTGCTTTAACTTGCACAGTTTCAGTCCTGTTCGTCCTTGTTCCCATGACTCAGGCGCCCCTCGCACAGGGGAGGAGCAGCTGGTGAGTGGGCCATCCCTGCCCGGAAGGCTGGTGAATAACTGTCCCACTGGGGTTCACACTATGGACTGTGCCAGGTGCCGAACTCATTCCATCTCACGCTACCCCAGGGGGCGGGGCCTGTGACTACCCCAGGTCCAAGTGAGGAGGCCCAGGCTCAGGTAAGGCCACGGGCAGAGCGCCCCGGTCCCACCCAGCCACCTATGTCAGCCTCAACGCACTCTTGGGAGAATGAGCAGCCTCTGTGGCTGTGGAAACCCAAGTTGAAATCCCTACTCTGCCACTCTTTTGTTACTGGACTTTGGGGAGTTGACACCTCCTTTCTGGGCCCCATTTTCCATCCCTGTGCAGTGGGGGCGGCCTGAACGAAAGGGACAGCAGCATGGCCTGGGGTCAGGAGCACCGGCTCTGGAGCCGGAGCACCTGCATTCACACCCTCTCTCTGGGCCTCAGTCTCCTTATGGGGAGGATAGGAGTAATGTCAAATGACAACACGCTTAGTTTAAAGATCTAATTGGCTTTTAGGGCCAGGTGCAGTGGCTCACACCTGTAGTCCCAGCACTTTGGGAGGCCAAGGCAGGTGGATTGCTTGAGGTCAGGAGTTCGAGGCCAGCCTGGCCAACATGGTGAAACCTCGTCTCTACTAAAATACAAAAATTAGCTGGGCGTGGTGGCAGATGCCTGTAATCCCAGCTACTAGGGAGGCTGAGGCAGGAGAATTGCTTCAACCCGGGAGGTGGATGTTGCAGTGAGCTGAGATAGCACCACCGCACTCCAGCCTGGGCAACACAGTGAGACTCCATCTCAAAAAAAAAAAAAATCTAATTGCCTTTTATTTGCAATTCTAGAATCAGGCAACACCTCCCTCTGTGAAATAGAAGGGAGATTCCAATAAGCTGAACAGAGGATGTTAGCTTTTTTATAGGCAGAGAGGTGCTAAAGAGGGCAGAGACAGAGAACGAAAAACGGAATGGTTGTTTCACAGTTACTTTCCTTGTAAAGGGTTACAGCAGAGAAGACTTCCTTAGGCCAGTGACTCAGGTTGACTGGAAGCTCCTGTTCTCTAGAGAAACAGACCCATTTCAAAGTTCAGTTTGAGCATGGAGCTCTTAGCACAAGTGACTCCTTTCTGATTTGGTCTGGTAGGATGGGCCTAGTACAGGAGGCTAGTCTGAAACAATGGCCTCCCATGCATTTTATTTAACAGCACCTACCGGATAGGGTTGTTCCGAGGACAGAATGAGTTAATACACATAAATAGCTTAGCACAGTGGCCTCCACATAGTAGGTGTTCAGCACAGTGTTGGCTGTTGTCATCTATGAGTATCCTATCTGCTGGGACAACCCATGACCAGCAATCGGGGTGGCAGCAAATTCTGCTCATTCCCCCCACCCCCCCGCCACTCCCGTGCCCATCCTGGCCTAAGTCCCGCACACCTGGCCCCAAAGACACCTCTGGACTAGCTCCACCCCTCTGTCTGGAATGCTTTTCCCTCCCCTTTCCTCATGCCCCGCTCCAAAACACCCTTTGGTTCTCTGCTCACAGGTCCTCTCCTCAGGGAGGTCTCCCTGCCCACCGAGTAGGAAGGAGATCCTCCAATTTTTTATTTTATTTTATTTTATTTTATTTTATTTTGTTTTATTTTGTTTTATTTTATTTTATTTTGTTTTATTTTATTTTATTTTATTTTAATTTTATTTTGAGACGGAGTTTCACTCTTGTTGCCCAGGCTGGAGTGCAATGGTGCGATCTCGGCTCACTGCAACCTCTACCTCCCAGGTCCAAGCGATTCTCCTGCCTCGGCCTCCAGAGTAGCTGGGATTATAAGCACCCGCCACCACGCCTGGCTAATTTTTTGTATTTTTGGTAGAGATGGGGTTTCACCATGCTGGCCATGCGGGTCTCAAACTCCTGACCTCAGGTGATTGACCCACCAGGACCTCCCCAAGTGCTGAGATTACAGGCGTGAGCCACCATGCCCAGCCCTCCAATTAGCTTTTTTGTCTCCAGCCCCTATTTTTCACTTTGGTACTCTCATCAAAATCTGTCAACTCTTTTATGTATTTGTCCACTTCCGTCTCTATAGAATGTAAACCCCTGAGAGCAGAGGTGGTGTTCGCACCTCCATCGCCGCATCCCTAGAGCCTAGCTCAGTGCCTGGCGCGCAGCTGGTACTCCACAGATATAGGTACAATCAATGAATGAATAGTACGTAGTAGGTTCCTAGTAAATCCCACACACTAAGCCTAGCTCATCAGTGACTGGCATACAGGTGCTCTCAAGAGATATGTGTAAAATGAATTAATTAATAGTATGAATTAGGTTCCCAATGAGCGGGCTCCCAGAGAGCAGGATAGGACCCTAGCGCTCGGGGCAATATAATAATTGCTAACATTATGGCTGGGTGAGGTGGCTCGTGGCTGTAATCCCAGCACTTTGAGAGGCCAAGGCAGGTAAATCACTCAAGCCCAGGAGTCTGAGACCAGCCTGGGCAACATGATGAAATCCTGTATCTACAAGAAAAGTACAAAAATTAGCTGGGTGTGGTGGCACATGCCCATAGTCCCAGCTACTCGGGGGGTGCTGAGGTGGAAGGATGGCCTGACCCTCCGAAGCGGAGGTTGCAGTGAGCCGAGATTGCGCCACTGCAGTCCGCAGTCCGGCCTGGGCGACAGAGTGTGACTCCGTCTCAAAAAAAAAAAAAGAAAAAATAATAATAATAATAATTGCCAACATTATGGAATGCTCGTTATATGCTAAGCAGCGTTCTGAGCACCTTTCCTCCCCACGACGAACCTGTGAAGCAGTCACTATTTATATATATATATATTTTTTTGTTTGTTTTTTTTGAGACTGAGCCTCACTTTCGTCACCCAGGCTGGAGTGCAGTGGCGCGATCTCGGCTTACTGCAACCTGCACCTCCTGGATTCAAGCGATTCTCCTGCCTCAGCCTCCTGAGTAGCTGGGATTACAGGTGCACACCACCACTCCTGGCTAATTTTTGTATTTTTAATAGAGACGGGGTTTCACCATGTTGGCCAAGCTGGTCTCAAACTCCTGACCTCAGGTAATCCACCCGCCTCGGCCTCTGAAAGTGCTGGGATTACAGGTATGAGCCACCGTGCCCGGCTAGCAGCCACAATTTCTATCCAGATTTCATGGATGAGGAAACTGAGGCTCAGAGGCAAGTAACTTGCTCCAGGGCACCCAGCTATGTGTCCTGGAATTTGAACCTAGACACACTCTGGTTCATAAAGTTGGCTTGCTTTTCAACACTGCCCACTACTGCAAGCAGGAAGACTTCCTGGAGGAGATGTGGCAGAAGCTGGGCCTGGGAGAGTGGAACAAATTCCTACAATAGGGAACTGAGTCGCTGGGTGCAGCAGCTGGCAGGAGTGGAGCAGAGAGGGCACTGGGGAATAAAGTTGGCAGGTGTTTCAGTTATCTATTGCTGATAGGAATCCACCCAAAAACATGGCAGCATTGACTTAGCAACAACCATATACTTAACTCAGGAATCTGCAACTGGCAGGACTCAGCAGACACAGCTCATCTCTGCTCACATGACATCAGTCCTCTGTGGTCTCACTACCTGGCCTCTACAACATGGTGGCAGCAGGGCAGCCAGCTTCCTACATGGTGGTTTCAAAGACACATGTCAAGAGACAGCCAGAGGAAGCCATCGCCTTTTATGATCTGGCCTTGGAAGTCAGCCAGTGTCACTTCTGTTATATTATATTAGTCAAAATACAAGTCTGCCCAGGTTCAGGGGAAAGGGGAGGACTGGGTATAGCCTGTTTTATACAGTCTGATAGATAGTTCTGGAGGCTGAGAAGTCCAAGATCAAGGAGTCAGGAGATTTGGGTCCGGTGAGGGCCCACTTTCTGGTTCATTGATGGTGCCTTCTTATTGTGTCTTCGTGATGGAAGGGGTGAGGGGTCTCTCAAAGGTCTCTTTTATAAGGACACTAATCCCACTCGTGAGGGCTCCACCTTCGTGATCTAACCACCTCCCCAAAGCCCCACCTCCTAATTTTTTTTTTTTTTTTTTTTGAGACGGAGTCTCGCTCTCTCGCCCAGGCTGGAGTGCAATGGCGCGATCTCTGCTCACTGCAACCTCTGCCTCCTGGGTTCAAGCAATTCTCCTACCTCAGCCTCCCAAGTAGCTGGGATTACAGGCGCCTGCCACCACACCCGGCTAATTTTTTGTATTTTTAGTAGAGACAGGGTTTCATCATGTTCGCCAGGCTAGTCTCGTACTCCTAACCTCAAGTGATTCTCCCGCCTCAGCCTCCCAAAGTGCTGGGATTACAGGCATGAGCCACTGCGCCTGGATGCCCTACCTCCTAATACCATCCATCACCTTGAAGGTTAGGATTTCAACATATGAATTTTAGGAAGAAACATTCAGACTATAGCATGATGAAAAAACAGCATTTAAGTGTTATAAACCCCGAGAAAGCAAAAATAACATCAACAATAATAGTAGGAGGGGAAATAGGGAAAAATGTAAAAGAGCTTTCACCTTTTGTTAGAAAGAACCGATTCAAACTGATTAAATTGAAACATGTAGTTCTTTTTTAATTATTCCAAATATTCCAAATAAAAGATAAGACTGTCAGGATGAATAAAGTAACAAACTCCACTATATGCTACTTACAAGATATATGATTTAAATATAACAGCACAGAAGGCCCGGCGCAGTGGCTCACACTGGGTGGGTGGATCACGAGGTCAGGAGTTCAAAACCAACCTGGCCAAGACGGTGAAACCCCATCTCTACTAAAAATACAAAAATTAGCTGGTGGTGGTGGTGGTGGTCACCTGTAATCCCAGCTGCTCGGGAGGCTGAGGCAGAGAATTGCTTGAACTTGGGAGGCAGAGGTTGCAATGAGATGAGATCACGCCACTGTACTCCAGCCTTGGAAACAGAGCAAGACTCCGTCTCAAAAAAAGAAAAAAAAGAAAAGAACACAGAAAGGTTGCGAATTTAAAGATGGAAAGAGATCTATCACCCAAACAATAACCACAAAAAAATCTGCTGTACCTGTCCCAAAGTTAAAGAGTAGAATTTAAGGTAGGAAGCATGAGCAGAAACTTCATTTCAGTTAGGAAGGTATCAGAATCCCAAGTCTGTATACATCCAATAGCAGAGCTTCAAAATACAAGTAAAGCCCAATGGAACTAACAGGAGAAATGGGCAAGTCTAGTCATGGAAGGAGACTTAAACACACATCTCCAAAAAACTTATGTGGATTTAACAAAGTCACTAGATATGGGGTCAATAGATAAGATCAACTATATCTCTGTCTACTAGCCACAAATATAAACAAAGTTTTTTGTTTGTTTGTTTGTTTGTTTTTTGAGACGGGGTCTCGCTCTGTCGCCCAGGCTGGAGTGCAGTGGCACGATCTCAGCTCACTGCAAGCTCCACCTCCCAGGTTCACGCCATTCTCCTGCCTCAGCCTCCCGAGTAGCTGGGACTACAGGCGCCTGCCACCACGCCTGGCTAATTTTTTTGTATTTTTAGTAGAGACGGGGTTTCACCGTGTTAGACAGGATGGTTTCGATCTCCTGACCTCATGATCCGCCCGCCTCGGCCTCCCAAAGTACTGGGATTACAGGCGTGAGCCACAGCGCCCGGTCTATAAACAAAGTTTTTTAAATGAACCCATTAAACTCATAGCAGATAATATGGAAGAAAATCTAGATTACCTCGGGTTTGGCAATGACTTTTTTTTTATTTTTATTTTTCCGTTGTTGTTGCTGTTTTTGGTTTTGTTTTTGGAGACAGGGTCTTGCACTGTCACCCAGGCTGGAGTGCAGTGGCACAATCGTGGTTCACTGCGGCCTCAACCCTCTGGGCTCAAGCAACCCTCCTGCCTCAGCCTCTGGAAGTACTGGGATTACACGCGTGAGCCACCACACCCAGCCTTATTTTTCTTTTCATTTTTTTCCTTCTGGTTTGTCACGGGCTCAGAAAGAGGGCAATGACTTTTTAGATAATCCATAAAAGAAATAATTGATGAGGCCAGGTACAGTGGCTCACGCCTGTAATCCCAGCACTTGGGAGGCGCCAAGGTGGGCGGATCATGAGGTCAGGAGATCGAAACCATCCTGGCTAACATGGTGAAACCCTGTCTCTACTAAAAATACAAAAAATTAGCCAGGCATGGTGGCGGGTGCCTGTAGTCCCAGCTACTCAGGAGGGTGAGGCAGAAGAATGGCGTGAACCCGGGAGGCAGAGCTTGCAGTGAGCCAAGATCCCACCACTGCACTCCAGCCTGGGCAACAGAGTGAGACTCAGTCTGAAAAAAAAAAAAAAAAGAAAGAAAGAAAGAATTGATGAGTTGGGCTTCATTAAAATTCAAAACCTGTGCTTTGAGAAAGACACTGTCAAGAGAATAAAAAGGTAAGACCAGGAGAAAATATTTGCAAAAGACATATCTGATAAAAGACTGTCGACCAAAATATATGAAACTCTTAAAACTCAACAATAAGAAAATGAACAGTGGAACGTGCCTATAGTCCCAGCTACTCAGGAGGCTGAGGCAAAAGGATCACTTGAGCCCAGGAATTCAAGACCAGCCTGGGCAACACAGGGAGACCCCCATCTCTTAAAAAAAAAGAAAAAGAAAAAGAAAAAAGAAAAGAAGGCGGGGCACAGTGGCTCGCGCCTATAATCCCAGCACTTTGGGAGGCTGAGGCAGGTGGATCACCTAAGGTAGGAGTTCAAGACCAGCCTGACCAATCTGATGAAATCCCATCTCTACTAAAACTACAAAAATTAGCTGGGCATGGTGGCATGCGCCTGTAGTCCCAGCTACTCAGGAGGCTGAGACAGAAGAATTCCTTGAACCCAGGAGGTGGAGATGGTAGTGAGCCGAGATCATGCCACTGCCATCCATGCCATTCCAGCCTGGATGACAGAGTGAGACTCCATCTCAAAAAAAAAAAAAAAGAAAGAAAGAAATGTGTTATCAGGCCATGAAAAGACATGGAGGAAGCTTAACTGCATGTTGCTAAGTGAAAGAAACCAGTGTGAGTAGGCTACATACTGTGTGATCTCAACTATATGATATTCTGGAAAAGGCAAAACTATGGAGATGGCAAAAGGATCAGTGTTTGCCAGGGGCCCCGGGGAAGGAGGGGATGATTAGGTGGAGCACAAAGGATTTTTAGGGCAGTGAAACTATTGACTATGATACTATAATGGTGGATACATGTCATTATAATTTGTCAATTCCATAGAATGGACACCAAGCATTTACAATGAAGCTTATGTCAACTATAGGCCTTGGGTTAAAGATGTATCTATCCATGTACCTTCACTGATTATAGCAAATGTGCCACTCTGGTGTGTGATGTTCATGGAGAATTCTGAGTTAGGGGGGTGGGTGTTATATGGGAAATCTCTGTACTTTACGCTCAATTTTACTATGAACCTAAAACTGCTCTAAAAAATAAAGAAAGTCTATTTTTAAAATGAAGCCATTTATGGAAGCATCAAAAACATCAACTTGGTAGGAATAAACCAAACAAAAGATGTGCAAGATCTGTACACTGAAAACTACAGAACGTCGTTATGTATGAGTCACTAGGAAAAGCAGATCCAAACCACAATCCGATACCACTTCGCACACACTCAGATGGCTGTAATCAAAAAGACAAACAAAACAAGTGTTCGCCAGAAGGTGGGGAAATTAGCTCCCTCACACATTGCTAGTGCGAATGTACGATGGCACGGTTGCTTTGGGAAACGGTTTAGCAGTTCCTCAAAAAGTTAAATATAGAGTTACCATATGACCCAGCCACTTCACTCCTAGGTATAAAATACCCAAGAGAATTGAAAATACATGCCCACACATCATGTTCATTACACATGATGTTCATAGCAGCATTATTCATAATAGAACAAAAGTATCAACGATCCAAATACACATGCATGGGTGAGTGGATAATAAATGTATCATTCCAGCCATAAAAATAAATAAAGTTCCAATATGTGCTACCACATGGATGAACCTTGAAAACATTACACTAAGTGAAAGATGTCAGACACAAAAGGCCATAGATTGTATGATCCCATTTATATGGAAAGTCCAAAACAGGCAAATCCATAGAGACAGAAAGGAATTAGTAGTTGCTAGGGACTAGGGGAAGGGGAAACAGAGAATGACAGGAATGGAGGGTGACAGGTGGTGTATGAGGTTTTGGCGGGAGTGAAAACATATCTGGAAATTAGGTAGTGGTGATGACTGCACAACTTTTTAAATATACTAAAAACCTGGCCAGGCGCAGTGGCTCACACCTGTAATTCCAGCACTTTGGGAGGCCGAGGGGGGTGGATCACAAGGTCAGGAGTTCGAGATCAGCCTGACCAACAAGGTGAAACCCTGTCTCTACTAAAAATACAAAATTAGCTGGGCATGGTGAGAGATGCCTGTAATCCCAGCTACTTGGGAGGCTCAGTCAGGAGAATTGCTTGAACCCCAGGAGGTGAAGGTTGCAGTGAGCCAAGATCATGCCATTGCACTCCAGCCTGGGCAACAAGACCCAAACTCCATCTCAATAAATAAATAAATATACAAACAAACAAAAACCCACTAAATTGTACAGTTTAAAACAGGTGAATTTTATTGTATGTGAGTTATATTTCAATTTTTAAAATTAATAAAATGACATTATTGTGGGAAATTAAATAAGATCTAAATACATCACTGGGCACAGTGGCTCACTCCTGTAATCTCAACACTTTGAGAGGCCAAGGCAAGAAGATTGCTTGAGCCCAGGAGTTCCAGACCAGCCTGGGCAACATAGTGAGATCCAGTCTCTACAAAAAATAATTTAAAGATTAGCCAGGTATGGTGGCACATGGCCTGTAGTCCCAGCTGCCGGAAAGGATCACTCAAGCCCAGGAGGTCAAGGCTACAGTGAGCACGAGAATCGTCTGAATCTGAGAAGCAGAGGTTGCAGTGAGCCAAGATCACACCACGGCACTCAAGCCTGGGCGACAGAGCGAGACCCTGTCTCAAAAAATAAATAAATAAATAAATTTAAAAAGTGGTATATTCACACAGTGGAGTGCTACTACACAGCAGTGAAAATAAATAATAAATGTATAACTACAGGCAACATCGTGGACGAATCCCATAAACATAATGTTGAGTGAAGGAAGCCAGACAGAAAAGAGGACAGGATTCCATTTACGCAGAGGACAAAACCAGGTTAAAATCTGCAAGATCAGGATACTCCTTCCTTGTGGGAGGAATTGTAGAAAGTGGGCTCACAGGGGTTCATGGGGGCTGGCTGTGTTCTGTGTCTTTATTTGGTTTCTGGCTATATGGTGTGCTCACTGTGTATACACTTATTTCATATATATAATATTTCAACTAAAACTGTACCCCTGCTTCTCTGCCATGGGCTGATGTGCGCTCCCCAAAAATCCATATGTTGAAGTCCTAACCCCCAGTATCTCAGGATGTGATCATATTTGGAGATAAGGTCTTTAAAGGGGTGACTGAAGACTGGGTAAGCTGGGCGCGGTGGCTTACGCCGGTAATCCCAGCCCTTTGGGAGGTCGAGGCGGGCAGATCACCAGAGGTCAGGAGTTCTAGACAAGCCTGGCCCACATGGCAAAACCCCATCTCTACTAAAAATACAAAAATTAGCTGGGCATGGTGGTGCATGCCTGTAATCCCAACTCCTTAGGAGGCTGAGGCAGGAGAATCGCATGAACCTGGGAGGCAGAGGTTCCAGTGAGCCGAGATTGCGCCACTACACTCCAGCCTGGGTGACAGAGCAAGACTCTGTCTCAAAAAAAAAAAAAAAAAGACTGGGTGAGGTGGCTTACACCTGTAATCCTAGCACTTTGGGAGGCTGAGGTGTAAGGATGGCTTGAGCCCAGGAGTTGGAGAACAGCCTGGCACTGTAGTGAGACCCTCCCCCCATACAAATTAGCCAGGTGCAGTGGTACCTGTCTGAGGTCCTAGCTACCCTGGAGGCTGATGCAGGGGGATAGCTTGAGCCCAGGAGGTCAAGACTATCGTGAGCCGTGATTGTGCCACTGCACTCCAGCCTGGGCAACAGAGCGAGACTGTCTCTAAAAACAAAAACAAAGCATAAAGAGGTGACTAAGTTAACATGAGGGGCTGGGCGCAGTGGCTCACGCCTGTAATCCCAGTACTTCGGGAGGCCGAGGGGACACTTGAGGACAAGAGTTTGAGACCAGACTGGCCAACATGTGAAACTTCATCTCTACTAAAAATACAAAAATTAGTTGGGCGTGGTGGTGCATGCCTGTAATCCCAGTTACTCGGGAGACTGAAGCAGGATAATCACTTGAACCGGGAAGGCGGAGGTTGCAGTGAGCCAAGATCATGCCACTGCACTCCAGCCTGGGCAACAGAGCGAGACCCTGTCTCAAAAAAAAGTTAAAATGAGGTCTTTAGGGCAAACCCTAATCCAGTATGATTTGGGCCTTTATTCGGTTACTGGCTACATGGCGCGCTCACTCTGTATACACTTATTTCATGTATATAATGTCAATCAAAATAGTACCCTTGCCTCTTATAGGAAGAGGAGATTTGGACACAGATGTGTACAGAAGAAAGATGATGGGAAGATGGCCATCTACAAGCCAAGGAGAGAGGCCTGGGAAGAAGCCACTATTCCCATCCCTTGATCCTGGACTTCCAACCTCCAGACTGTGAGAAAATCAATTTCTGCTATTTCAGCCCCCCAGTCTATAGTAGTTTGTTAAGGAAGCCCAAACTAATACAACCCCCAAAGGTAAATTATATGCAATCATATGGAATAAATGCAAAAATGTCATTATGTGGAAAAAGACAGTAGAGAATTGTATATCGTATGCCACCATTTGCTTTTAAAAAGAAGTGGGGGAATGTGTGTGTGGTGTGTGTGTCTGCATATACTGTGTACATGTACATACATATATACATATATAAATCATCCCAGATCATCTCTGGGAGAATATGGAGGAAACTGCCATCAGTTATTGTTTTTCATTTATTTTTTATTTATTTATTTTATTTTTTTTTTTTTTTTGAGATGGAGTCTCGCTCTGTTGCCTAGGCTGGAGGGCCATGGTGCGATCTTGGCTCACTGTAACCTCCACCTCTCGGGTTCAAGCAATTTTCCCTGCCGCAGCCTCCTGAGGAGCTGGGATTACAGGCACCCCCCACCGCTACCACATCTGGCTAATTTTTGTATTTTTAGTAAGGGTTTCGCCGCATGGCCAGGCTGGTCTCAAACTCCTGACCTCAGGTGATCCGCCTGCCTCAGCCTCCCAAAGTGCTGGGATTACAGGCATGAGCCACGGTGCCAGGCCTTTTTTGTTTGTTTGTTTTAAATAGAGACAGGGTCTCACTATGTTGCCCAGGCTGGTCTCGAAGCCCTGGCCTCAAGTGAACCTCCTGCCTTGGCTTCCCCAAAGTACTGGGATTACAGGCGTGAGCCACTGCGCCCAGCCAGCTGTTGTCTTTTAGAGGGGAACTGGAGGCCTACATAAAGTTGGTTTCGTTTTCTTTTGTTTTTTGAGACAGAGTCTCACTCCATCGCCCAGGCTGAAGTGCAGTGGCACAATCTTGGCTCACTGCAACCTCCACCTCCCCGGTTCAAGCAATTCTCCTGCCTCAGCCTCCCGAGTAGCTGGGATTACAGGCATGCACCACCACAGCCGGCTAATTTTTGTATTTTTAGTAGAGACAGGGTTTCACCATATTGGCCAGGCTGGTCTCAAACTCCTGACCTCAAGTGATCCGCCCACCGTGGCTTCCCAAAGGGCTGGGATTACAGGCGTGAGCCACTGCACTCAGCCCTACGTAAAGTTTTAACCCAGTTAAGTATATTTTTTAAATCACTAAATAGTTCACACATATGCAAATGTTTAGAGAAAAACAATGAACACCAAAATATTCAAAAAGACTAATGTTTGGAAAGTACTCAGAATTGTATTCCCCAAAAATTCATTCCCCCAAGACCCACAGGCCTCAGGGGTCTGCAGGTCTCTCTCAGGGCCAGAGACGGGGAAGGGGCCACCTGGCAAGGGCGGTCCTTGGCACCTTCCCCCCTTTACAGAAGAGGTGTAGAGATGAGGGTCTCACTATGTTGCCCAAGCTGGTCTCGAACTACTGGGCTCAAGCAATCCTCCTGCGTCAGCTTCCCAATAGCAGGACACCCTGAGAAGTCTGAAGGCTCACGCCCAGACCCACGCACAGGTCTAGTTTTGGTCCACAGCATGGCGTGGGTGTGGCTTTGGAGTTGGCGGCAGCTGAAGGCTGGGTGACGTTAGCAAGGTCTCAGCCTCAGTCTCCTTATCTGAAAAACTGGATAGTAATTCCCTCTTTATACTGCGGCCATGAAGAAGAGGGCTGATGTGGGTGGAGTGACTGGTGGGGCAGGCGCTCTGTAAGTGGCTGTCAGCAGGGCAGGGGCTGGGCTCAAGCCTGTGACCACACTGCTCCAAGCTGGACACACGGTGGCGCCCTCGTCCCACAGGTGCAGCACCAGTTCTAGCCTCTGGTGGCATCGGTTACTGGAGGGAGGGAGGGAAGAAGAGAGGAACGGAGTTATATTTGCAAACACACTGCCCACTCTGGGCCCTAGGGGTGGAAAAGTGAATGAGGACCACACAGTTCCTACTCAAGGAGGCTGGATTGGAGGGGCTGGGAGCCCCAAGGAGGAGAGGAACGTGGGAGAGGGCACTGCCTGGGGATTTTGCAGTGGGTTGACTGGTGGCCCCCCTGCAAAAGACACGTCCACCTGGGACCAGGGAATACAGTCTTATTTGAAAAAAGAGTCTTTGCGAATGTAATGAAGATAAGAATCTCGGCCGGGCGCGGTGGCTCACTCCTGTAATCCCAGCACTTTGGGAGGCTGAGGCTGGCGGATCACCTGAGGTCAGGAGCTCAAGACAAGCTTGACCAACACAGCGAAACCCCCTCTCTACTAAAAATATAAATAAAAAATTAGCCAGGCGTAGTGGCGGATGCCTGTAATTCCAGCTACTTGGGAGGCTGAGGCAGGAGAATCGCTTGAACCCGGGAGGAGAGGGTTGCAGTGAGACCAGATTGCACCATTGCACGCCAGCCTGGGTGACAAGAACGAAACTCCATCTTAAAAAAAAAAAAAAGTAAGGATCTCAAGATGAGATCGTCCTGGATTATCCGTGGGGGGCCAAATCCACTGACAAGTGTCCTTACAAGAAGAGAAGATGCTGACACAGAGGGAGCTACACGGAAATGTCGGCAGAGGCAGGAGCGAGGCTGCCATAAGGCAAGGACACCTGGAGCCACCAGAAGCGGGAAGAGGCAAGGAAGGATTCTCCCCTAGCACCTTCAGAGGGAGCGGGGCCCCTCCAACACCTTGATTTCAGACTTCTGGATTCCAGAACTAATCATTTTTGTTTGTTTGTTTTTCAGTGACAGGGTCTTGCTCTATTGCCCAGGCTGGAGTGCAGTGGTGTGATCATAGCTCACTGCAGCCTTGACCTCCTGGGCTCAAGCGATTCTCCCACCTCAGCCTCCCAAGTGGCTGGGACTCCCAGCTCACACCACCATGTCCAGCTAATTTTTTAAAGTTTTTTGTAGAGATGAGGGTCTCACTATGTTGCCCAAGCTGGTCTCGAACTACTGGGCTCAAGCGATCCTCCTGCGTTGGCTTCCCAAAGTGCTGGGATCACAGGCGAGAGCCCTGCACCTGGCGTGGAGAGAATAAATTTTTATTGTTTTAAGCCACCAAGATTGTGGTCATTTGTTACAGCTGCCACAGGAAACTAATAGAGATGTTTAAATTTTCTTCCTGCCACTCGGTTCACTGACTCCCACTCCTAATAGCCTACAGGATTGTGCCCAAGGCCCCAAACTCCTGGCCCCCTACTTCCCCCCAAAACCCAAACTCCACCACACCCACTGCTCTCCAAACACACAGGCTATTTGACACCTCTGCACTCTTGCTTTGGCAGCTCTCTGTCTGGGATGCCCTTCCCTTGCTGATCCCCTGGACGACTACTACAGACATTTCAAAGTCCTCCTTCAACATCCCCTGCTAAGTATATTAGTATCTTCTGAATCAATGGCTTCCAGGACACTCACACTCCTCCATCTCCCTCAGCCCACTGTGTTCCTCGCTCCTTGTTTCATCACCAGCAGCTCAGCTACATGCCCCACCCCCTCCACTAGTCCTCTCCTGGCCTCTCCATCCCCAGAACTAATGCCCTCGTTCAGGAACCCCATCTCCCACCAGGCTTCTTGTGCCTACTCCTAACTGGTCCCTCTGCCCTGGTCTGGCCCCTCCAGTCCATCACCACTCTGTAGCCCTGGCGTTCAGCTCTACCATGTCACTCCTCTGCTCAAGAGCCTTCCATGGCTCCCTGCTGCCCTGAGGAGAATATCCAAAGGGAATGATAGTATCTTCAAATGCTCCTTCCCACCTCTCACCCCACCACTGTCCAACACATCCATGTGCTACACACCTCTGGGCATTTGCACAGGCAGTGGCCTTCCCCTGGCATGTCCTCTCCCTGTCTGCCAGGCATGCTCCAACCCATGTCTTGGGCAGCCCCTCCCACAGTACCCACCATTCAGCAGTGGCATCAGCTAAAACATCACAAGGCTGACCATACACCAGGTGCTGTCGTAAGCTCTTTACATGTGTTAACCCTTTGGATTCTCATAACAACACCAGGAAAAAGCCACCATTCCTGTGTCCAGCTCACGGATGGGAAAACCAAGGCCCAGATGGGAGAAGAACCATTCAGAAGTGGCAGAAGGAGGCCGGGCACGGTGGCTCACGCCTGTAATCCCAGCACTTTGGGAGGCCGAGGCGGGCGGATCACAAGGTCAGGAGATCGAGACCATCCTGGTTCACACGGTGAAACCCCATCTCTACTAAAAATTCAAAAAATTAGCCAGGCGTGGTGGTGGGCGCCTGTAGTCCCACCTACTCAGGAGGCTGAGGCAGGAGAATGGCGTGAACCTGGGAGGCGGAGCTTGCAGTGAGCCAAGATCGAGCCACTGCACTCCAGCCTGGGCGACAGAGCAACACTCTATGTCAAAAAAAAAAAAAGTGGCAGAAGGAGCCAAACCCAGCCTGCACTGTCAACCCTCCTGGTAGGGGCCTCAGAATTGTTGAACCTCCCCTTACCCATACCAAGCCCAAATGCACCACCCTCTCCTCCGTGGATTCCAAATTTTGTAAACACATCCCTCACTGTGCTGTGCAAGGGTTACCCCGATTACACGGTGGTCTTCCCCTCCCAGAAGCCCCCGGAAAACTTCACTGTTCTTGTCTAGGTCCCTGGTAACTGGCACAGTGCAGGAGTTTAATAAACGAGAATGAATGAGCTCATGAGCAAATGGTTTCCAGGGAAATTGGGCCCTGGGGATTTCTCACCCTCCTCAAAGAACAAATTATGCAAATTCTCTGGGACCAGGCCCTCTGCTTTCCTCCTCCCCACTAGGTTTCTGGGAGGGTGTCTGGGCTCACCAGAAAGTGCCCCGGGCTCTCTAGTGGCCCGTTTCCTGATTACAAATGAAACTAGGGCTTAAAGCTGGTGAATCACTAGCAACTGCCAGCCAGGGCGTGCTGGGTGTCAGGTGGGGTGGATGGGAGAAGGCAGGCTCACAACCAGACTTCCCTACTACTCCTGCCACCCCCAACTTTGCCATCGTGGCATGACCTCCCCAGCCACTGATGACACTAGCTAGGAAAGAGCCTAGCTCTGGGGGCTAGACAAGCTTGAGCAACTCCTGGACTGTCCACACTCCTATCCCTGAGCCTACCACCCCTGGGTCCCAGGAACCCACAGCCTGAACCATTCGCAAACCTCTTTCCCAAGCCCAGTCTCAGGTAACTCAGGGATGGTATCCAGGGAGGTACTGTATCCCCATTTTAGAAATACAGAAACCAAAGTTCAGGGTGAGGGAACTACCCAAGACCACCCCAAAGAAAGTAAGTAGGGCCTAGGAAGTTGAACCCCAGTCTTCTGCCTCTCCAGTGGGGTTTAAAGCAGAACTGGCCTTTTTTTTTTTTTTTTTTTTTTTTTTTTTGAGACTAGGAATTGCCCTGTGGCCCAGGCTGGAGCGCAGTGGTGCAATCATGGCTCACTGCAGCCTGCTCAAACTCCTGGGCTCAGGCGATCCTCCTGCCTCAGCCTCCTGAGTAGCACCACCATGCCCAGCTCATTTTCTTTTCTTTTCTTTTCTTTTTCTTTTTGAGATGGAGTCTCGCTCTGTCACCCAGGCTGGAGTGCAATGGCATGATCTCAGCTCACTGCAACATCCGCTTCCCAGCTTCAAGCAATTCTCCTGCCTCAGCCTCCCAAGGAGCTGGGATTACAGGCATGTGCCACCACACCCTAGAGATGGAGTCTCACTGTGTTCATTAGGCTGGTCTCAAACTCTGGGCCTCAAGCATTCGGCCATTTCTTGATTCAAACGTCACAAACTTAGAGGGCAAAAGAGTGAAAAGTAAGGATCCCAGCTCCTACCCAAGACTCCTGGAGGAATTTCATCAAGTGTTCAAGGACCCTGAGGCAGGTTGGGAAACTGCAAACCAGTGGGTAAGAGCCCATGTCCAGGTGGACGCCTCACAAGTCACAGGGTTTTTGTGATGTTGGGCAAGTTTCTTAGCTTCTGTAGGTCTCAGTTTCCCCATCAGTGAAATGGGAACAAATCTTAGTACCTACTGCGACATAGGATTGTGGTGAGGATGACATGAATCAACACGGATGAGGCTCAGAGCAGTGCCAGGCGGGCAGTACATGCTCAATAAACAGTAGGGTTTTTAAAAGTATTTTGAAAGATTCAGGCCGGGCACGGTGGCTCACGCCTGTAATCCCAGCACTTTGGGAGGCCAAGGTGGACAGATCACCTAAGGTTGGGAGTTCCAGACCAGCCTGACCAACATGGAGAAACCCCGTCTCAACCGAAAATACAAAGAAATTGGCCAGGCGCGGTGGCTCACGCCTGTAATCCCAGCACTTTGGGAGGCCGAGGTGGGTGGATCACCTGAGGTTGGGAGTTCGAGACCAGCCTGACCAACGTGGAGAAACCCCGTCTCTACTAAAAATACAAAATTAGGTGGGCGTGGTGGCACATGCCTGTAATCCCAGCTACTAGGGAGGCTGAGGCAGGAGAATTGCTTGAACCTGGGAGGCGGAGGTTGCAGTGAGCCGAGATCACACCACTGCACTCCAGCCTGGGCAACAAGAGCGAAACTCCATCTGAAAAAAATAAAATAAAATAAAATAAAAAATAAAAAAAACACAAAAAATTAGCCAGGCGTGGTGGCAGATGCCTGTAGTCCCAGCTACTCGGGAGGCTGAGGCAGGAGAATGCCATGAACCCGGGAGGCGGAGCTTGCAGTGAGCCGAGATTGCACCACTGCACTCCAGACGGGGAGAGAGAGCGAGACTCCATCTCAAAAAAAAAAAAAAAAATACTGGCTGGGCGTTGTGGTGCATACCTGTAATCCCAGCTACTCGGGAGGCTGAGGCAGGAGAATCACTTGAACCCGGGAGGCAGAGGTTGCGATGAGCCGAGATAGCACGACTGCGCTCCAGCCTGAGCCCACAAGAGTGAAACTTTGTCTCGAAAGAAGGAAAGAAAGGAAGGAAGGAAAGAGACAGAAAGAAGGAAGGAAGGAAGGGAGGAAGGGAGGAAGGAGGAAAGGAGGAAAGAAGGAAAGAAGAAGGAAAGAAAAGAAGGAAAGAAAGACTCACTTCCCAAGGAGAAACCATTTGGGTGAGTCCTTGTCATCAGAGAGGAATGCTCCCCATACCTGCCTGGTAGAAGGCTCAGGCCTGGGGCCTCCTTATAAATCCCAAGACCTGTCCCACCCAGACCTGCCCAGTCAGAGACTTGGAGAAGGGGAGCTGATATTTTGGGTTTATTTGTTTTTGTTTTTGAGACAGAGACTCGCTCTGTCGCCCAGGCTGGAGTGCACTGGTGCAATCTGGGCTCCCTGCAACCTCCACCTCCCGAGTTCAAGCGATTCTCCTGCCTCTGCCTCCCGAGTAGCTGGGACTACAGGCGCACCACCACATCTGGATTTTTTTTTTAATAGAGACAGGGTTTCACCATGTTGGCCAGGCTAGTCTCAAGCTCCTGACCTCAGGAGATCCACCCCCCAACCGTCGGCCTCTCAAAGTGCTGGGATTACAGGCATGAGCCACCGCGCCCGGCCAGAAGCTGATGTTTTGAACCACAGCCCCAGGGAGTTTCTTGGATCAGGCAAGTCTGGGAATCCTAGAGGCTGCGTATCAGGTCCTTCTTTGAAGACTCTTCTGGTGAAACACCTTCCGCCCACCTGTCAACATGTCCTTGGGGTAAAGCCAACTTTCTCTTCTTCTCAATTAATAATAATGTTTCCTAACTGGAATTGGGTGCACACTAGTGCCAGGTGCTTTCTAAAATATAAATTAATTAATTTCATCCACCAGTAGCCCTCTGGGGCAATTATTTTTAGCTCCATCTTACAGAGGGGGAAACTGAGGCCAGGGGAGTTCATAACTCACCCAAGGTTACACAGCTGGAAATTTGGAAGAGCCAAGACTCTCTTCCCCACCACAGAACAGCCTGTGCGAGCCGCCCCAGCGCCTGGAGGCACCGACCCAGAGCGGGTCTCACAAGGCTGAAAACCTGGGGTCTTCCCAGGGCAGTAGGGCGGCTTCATGGAACTAGAGGCTGTAGTCCCAGTCCCAGTCCCCAGGCCCTTCCCCTCGCCAAGTCTGCATAGCCACATCAAATTGTGGTGGTTCCTTTACCAGGCTCCCCTCTGCCTTCCTGCCTGGGGCAAAAGAGGGCGCTCCAGAGCCACAGAAAGTCCACTGGGACAAATGACCTCATCCTTCCACCCCAGCCCTCCACTCCCTAAAACCTCCCCTCCTTCCCTCACCTGTGCCTTTCTCCAACCCTATCATGTCACTAGCACTTCTCTAGAAGTGCCATGCCTTTGGCCAGGTTGTTTCCTGGGCCAGGCACACTCTTTCACAATTTTAGGCTTCTATATTGAGAGGGTGGCCTCCTTCCTCCAGGAAGCCCTCCCTGGCTGCCTCCTCTGAGCTAGCTAGCTCCAATGTGCCCCCACGGCCTCTGGGGGATGACTGCCCCAAGCATCAACCATGTTGTGCCCTAAGGGGCTGGGGTCCGGGAGGGGAGACGAGGACAGGGGTCACCTACCTCCTTTTGGGTTAGGTGAGGGAGCGTGTGGGGGATGGGGCAGGCCTCCCTCTGCCCGGCCTCTTCTGGACCAGCGACCCTGACCCTCAGGCCCTCGGTCAATACCCATTGGGCAACTACAGGATCGATCGGCTGGGGCTGCCTGGAGGGGGAGGTAGGCAGGGTTGTTTGCTTCCCCAGGGGCACCTTTGGCCAGCCCCACCCCTCCGTGGAGGTCTCCCCTGCCGGTCTCAGCCTCTTGACGTCCTCACCCCTCCTCTGGGATTGTGCAGGCAGCGGGGGGAAAAAGAGGGAGGCAGCAGCAGATGGGGGCTGACCCGGGAGCTGGCTCAACGCCCTGCCCTAGGGATGGAGAGACTGAGGCCGCCAGAGCCTGGTCAAGCCAGAGCTGAAGCCTCCGGCCCCAGCGGGACGGGAAGGAATCTGGTCTCCTCCTTCCTGGCTCCCTCAGCCCCGCCCCCATCAGAGCTGGGGAGGCCCCGGGATGGGAGGAGAGGACTGGGGCGGGGCACCCAGACTTGGAGTGGGGCCTGGAGCCCGGGATGCTTCCTGCGGACCTTCAACTCCCACATTCCAGGCTGTTCCCAAGACTCCTCGCTCCTCCTCCCTTCTCTACCCATCCCGTGTTGCGGGCGGGGGCGCGGGTGTTAGTGGCCAGGGTCTGAGCTAGCTGCCTGGGGCCTGTGGGGGTACTCGGGGGCCCCTCCTAGGGAGGGATTAGATCTACACTAGAGGGGCTGCCCTGGAGGCCTGTCCAAGCACCACCCAAGGGTACTTGTGATTGTCGTAAACAGGAAGCCCCCCTTTCCCCACCGCACCATGTAGACAGGCCCTGTGTGTCCAGACGCTGCGCTCTGGAGGCCGGGGGCTCTTGACCTCCCCGGCTGCGTTTCCTGTTAGCTGAGCCAGAGGAGAAAGAAGGGGACTGAAATGGGCTGGACAGGGGAGGTGCCTCAGGGAGTGAGAGCAGAAGGGGAAAGAGCCAAGGAGTGAAAGGCCAGAGCTGCCTGGCACACAGTAGGTGGTCAATAGTCTGTGGCCTGAGGTTGGGTAAGAAGGGAGGGGCCCCTCTGAGGAGAGCCATACAGTTGCCGGGAAGAGTGGAGGATTCACCCCACTGCCACCAAGGCCTGGCACATAGTAGGTGCTCAGGAAATATTTGAGATCCATGTTTAGAGTAGGCCGGGAGGAGGCGTTCTTGGAAGAGAGCAGTGTTTCTGGAGAAGAAAATGAGGCCACCCCGGCCTTGCAGCCCGCTGCGGGCTCAGCATTCCCCCACCGTCCCTGTCTGGCCCCCGCCCCGCCCTGTGGCTGCCTGGGCCAGGCCACTGTCTCAAGGCCCTTTATTTTTAAAATCCCTGCGGTGTTCCTGCCCCAAGACTAAGGAGCAGTGCCAGCCAACAGCTCAGCCTGCGGCCTGGGCTCAGGGCCTAAAGGCGCCAGGGGTGGGGCATCTGGCCACCCCACAGCTGCTGGCCCAGCCGGCCTGCCTGAGCAGGGTGAGGAGGCCCCTGGAATGCCCCCACCCTGGGCCCGAGGCATTAGTCCTTAGTCCCTGGTGAAGGGACAGAGGCCCACAAGGGTGGCAAGCAGGCTTTGCATGTTGAATATAGTAGCTTGTTCCTCCCACATCTTCCAAACAAATACGGGCACAGCACCTACTGTGTGTAAGGAGGAGGCGCGAGCTGGACCTCGTGGGGTGACAAAGGGGTGAGACATGCTTTCTCTTTTCCAGGGAGTCAGGGCCTGCAGAGGAAACAGGCATCGCAGTTGTGGGCATTTCTTGAAAGAGCCACGGACTGGAATCTAAGAGGCCTCTGGGCCCCAGTCCTGGCTCCATCCCTTCCCAGCTGTGTGGACTTGGGCAAGGCATTTGGTCTCTCTAAGCTTCTCTACAAAGGAAAACAATCACAGCTACCATGGAAGGCTGCTGTCTGTCACTAGACACAGCGATGAGCAACGCAGTCACCATCCCTGCCCTCACGGAGGTTAATGTCATGGGGGAAGGTGGTCCCCTGAACAAGGTCATGGCAGTCACCAGAGGCACAGAGCAGCAGCACGGAAGGGAGGGTGCTGGGGGGCAGGGGTGGGAGAGAACTTAATTTATGTGTTTTGGTTTTTTGAGACAGAGTTTTCGCTTTTTCTGCCCAGGCTGGAGGCAATGGCATAATTTCGGCTACCGCAACCTCCACCTCCCGGGTTCAAGTGATTCTCCTGCCTCAGCCTCCCGAGTAGCTGGGATTACAGGCACACACCACCACACCCGGCTGATTTTTGTGTTTTTAGTAGAGACAGGGTTTCACCATGTGGGCCAGCCTGGTCTCGAACTCCTGACCTCAGGCGATCTGCCCACCTCAGCCTCCCAAAGTGTTGGGATTACAGGCATGAGCCACCACGCCCAGCCAAGAACTTAGTTTAGATCCCTGGTCCCGTAGGCCCCTGAGGAGGGGACGTTTGAGCCGAGCAGAAAACAGCCTCTCACTTATCTGGGAAAAGAGTATTCTCTGCAGAAGAAAGAGTATTCTCTGCCAGGGCCCTGAGGCAGCAGGTGACAGGTATAGAAATGAAAGGACTTTGTAAACCCTTGAGGGCTGTGCGCCTGGCAGGAGGTGCTATTATTATTATTATTATTTGTTTTTTTGAGAAGGAATCTCACTCTGTCGCCCAGGCTGGAGTGCAGTGGCGCAATCTCAGCTGCAAGCAACGCCTCTCGGTTTCACGCCATTCTCCTGCCTCAGCCTCCTGAGTAGCTGGGATTACAGGCACCTGCCACCACGCCCGGCTAACTTTTTTGTATTTTTTTAGTAGAAACGGGGTTTTACCATGTTAGCCAGGATGGTCTCGATCTCCTGACCTTGTAATCCACCCACCTCGGCCTCCTAAAGTGCTGGGATTACAGGCGTGAGCCACCACACCCAGCCTATTATTATTTGTTTGTTTTTTTTTTTTGAGACGGAATCTCGCTCTGTCGCCCAGGCTGGAGTGCAGTGGTGCAATCTCAGCTCACTGCAACCTCTGCCTCCCAGGTTCAAGCAATTCTTCTGTCACAGCCTTCAGAGTAGCTGGGATTACAGGTAAGCACCACCACGCCCAACTAACTTTTGTATTTTTAGTAAAGACGGGGTTTCACCATGTTGGCCAGGCTGGTCTCTAACTCCTGACTTTGTGATCCGCCCACCTCGGCCTCCCAAAGTGCTGGGATTACAGGTGTGAGCCACCGCGCCCGGCCAGGAGGTACTATTATTGTCAGTGTCACTATGTCAAGCGGGGAGGAGGCAGGGATGTCAGGCAGATCACACCACAGCTAAGAGCTGCCCCTGAACTCCCCTTCCCTTCACTTGCTCCCCTAGAGAATGCCAGGCTGGCCAGCCAGCATGTGTGGGCCTTTGCCCTACAAAGGGAGTTCACTCCGGCCCAACTCGTTTTTGCCTTTGATCCTCCCAACAGCTGTGGAGTAAGGCAGGCAGGGTATATTATCACATATACCCATTTGATGGATGGGGAAACTGAGGTGGGGTGCAGGATGGTGGGGGTGTCTCACTAAGATCACCCAGCTCATTCATGGCAAAGCTGGCCAGGTGTAGTGGCTCATGCCTGTAATCCCAACACTTTGGGAGGCTGAGATGGGAGGATCACTTAAGCCCAGGAGTTCGAGACCAGCCTGGGCAACATAGCAAGCCCATGTCTCTACAATAATTTAAAAAATTAGCCGAGCTGAGCATGGTGGTATGCATCTGTGGTCCTAGCTACTCAGGAAGCTGAGGCGGGAGGATCGCTTGAGCCCAGGAGGTCGAGGCTGCAGTAAGCCATATTCATGCCACTGTACTCCAGCCTGGGCGACAGAGCAAGACCCTGTCTCAAAAAAAAAAAAAAAAAAAAAAAAAAAAAGACCAAGCTGAGCCGTGCAACCAAGTAGCCCAGTTCCCAGGCTAATCCATTTGCTCTGAGGTGGTCCCTTGGGAAGCCATCCTTGACTCCCCCCAAAAAACATTTCCTGCTTCACCCCAGCATCTGTCCCAGCACCCACAAACCAGATGAGCTTCTTTCCAGCACACAGACTCCACCAGGAGGTGCCAGCCACCCCTCAGGCTCCAGCCAGAGAAGAATGTGGCCTGACCCTCCCCGTGGGAGCTCTGGCCAGCAGGCCTTGGCAGAAGTGAGGCCGGCTGAGTCAACAAGAGGCTGGCAGGGGCTCAAGCTGCCCACTGAGGGGGAGTCAGAGACCCAGAGGGGGCTGCCTATTCTCCAACTCTCACTCTCTGCGAGATCCCCCCTCCTGCTTGGTAGGCGCCAGCCAGCCTGGTTAACCCCTGCAGACCCAATCGAGGAATGGCCTGGTGAGAATCCACTGTCAATCTCCTTTGGAACGGTGGTGTGGGACTTCAGGTAGGTCGCTTCACCTCTCTGGGCAGTTTTCTTGCCTGTGAGATCCTCCACTTGCCCATGAGGATGTTGTCAGAGTCTTTATGAATTCATAAAGATGACTCTGCACATAAAACCCTAAACCATCGCGTCCCCTCTCTGCAGCCTGGGAGTGTGAATTTCTGAGTTCAAAGGCAGTGGCTGGGCCGGGCGCCGTGGCTAACGCCTATAATCCCAGCACTTTGGGAGTCCGAGGCGGGCAGATCACCTGAGCTCAGGAGTTTGAGACCACCCTGGGCAACATGGTGAAACTCCATGTCTACTAAAATACAAAAAATTAGCCAGGTGTGGTGGTGCGCACCTGTAGTCCCAGCTACTCCGGAGGCTGAGGCACCAGAATCTCTTGAACCTGGGAGGCGGAGGTTGCAGTGAGCCAAGAGTGCACCACTGCACTCTGGCTTAGGCTACAGAGTGAGACTCTGTCTCCAAAAAAAAAACCACAAAGGCAGTGGCTGTGCCCTGCTGCCAGGTGCTGAACTGGTGCTTCATGAGTGTTTGCTGTGATGTGAAAGTTAAGTCCATGAAACAAATGAGAAAAGTACAAGGAGTTTGAGCCTCTGCAATGATTATGACACACCCGCAACCTGTGTTTCTAAAGCTCCTTTCGCAGACATGTTTGATCACAGGCATTGTTTGTTTGTTTGTTTTTGGGTGTTTTTTGGTTTTTTTTGAGACACAGTCTCACTCTGTCACCAAGCTGGAGTGCAGTGACGCGATCTCAGCTCACTGAAGAGCTGAGATCTCTCTCTGCCTCCCGGGTTCAAGTGATTCTCCTGCCTCAGCCTCCTGAGTAGCTGGGAATACAGGCATGCACCACCTCACCTGGCTAATTTTTGTATTTTTAGTAGAGACGCGGTTTCACTATGTTGGCCAGGCTGGTCTCAATCTCTTGACCTCGTGATCTGCCTACCTCGCCCTCCCAAAGTGGTGGGATTACAGGCGTGAGCCACCACGCCCGGCCCATCATAGGCATTGTTACTCCCACTTGACAGATGAGAAAACTGAGGCACGGGGAGGCTAAAGAACTTGCCCAAGATCCACAACTGGTACTACTTGGAGCCAGGTCTTCTTCTGACTTTCTGCAAAGGGAAGCATCTGGGGAACTCTCTGTTCTCAGAGGTGGAAAGAGGAGCAGTGAGCAGAGGTTATGACGAGTTGATTTCTGCTCCATTTCAGGGAGAAATTCTTGGCTGGCAGAGCTGTCCTCTTGGGGGAGTGGTGAGCTTCCAGTCACCAAAGGGATGTAAGTAGAGGCAACAGCCATCAGTCAGGGTTGCTTCTGAACAATTCCTGCCCCAGAAGGATGTGTATACAGGACGTGAGGTTCCTCCTCACCCCTGGAGACCGGAGGAGATCATGGTCCCTCTGAGCGTGGTCCCAGAGCCTTTGCCCTCAAGGCAGCAGGCCACTGAGAGGCGACAGACCTGGACTCAAATCCAGCGTGACCATTTCCAAGCCATGAGACGTTACTTCACCTCCTTGGCCTCAGTTTCCTCATCTGCACAATGGCGTTGTGAGGATCAGAGCAAATATAAGTGGAACTTCAAGCTCTGAGCTGTGTCTGGCAATCAGGAGATGCTCAGTTAATGCTCCTCCTGCTTCTGCTCTTCTTCTTATCATCAATCCAGGAAAGAGAGGAGGAAACCAGGAGCTAGGAAGCAGGTTTGGGGCATAGGAGGTTGCTGGGTGAACCCAGGACCTAGAGCCAGGAGCGCCAGGTCCGACTCCCAGCTCTTTGATGAACAGGCAGGTGCCATGGGCAAAAGGTGTGTTCCCTTGTCCATTTCTGTCTCTGCCACACAAAGGAGATCATGAACATGGAAGTGCTTCATTAACCAAAGTGGACGGGCTTTTGTTAGAAGAAAACAGAGAGATCCACGTGTCCAGGAATGAGCGCGTGGCCATGGGGGTGAGGAAGGCGCCCCCACAGCCCACCCAGGCAGGGCCACGTGAAGCCCCCAGGGCTGGGCCAGGCTGGAGGAGGCCATGCAGGAGATGGTCAGGGCAAAGCAGGACTGGCCTGCAGCCCAAGGGCCTATCTCTTAGGCCAGGGTGGGCCACAGAGAATAGGCCATTGTTTCTGCTCCTCAAATACTTTTCCTGTCCCCCCTCCATGCCCCTCCTCTCTCCACCCCACCCACCTCACAGTGAGAACAAAGGTCTCCTGGAGGACCCCTCCCCACCACCCTTCCATCCAGGCCCCGAACCACCTGGCCCAGGTCTGGAGAGCACATTTCTATCACCCAGGGACAACAGGGTCACCTGGCCCTGACCCCTTCTGCTGCCCCTCCCGCCCCCTCCAACTGCAGCCACCGCGGACCCCCACTCCGCCTTCAGTCCATCCATCTGTCTGTCCTCCTCAGGGGTGGGGCTGGAGGAACTGACCCCACATCCTTCCTCAACCCCCCTCCAACTTCTTGCTCTCCAGGAGAAAGGGAGCCAGAGGGGTTGGGGGGGCCTCCCCACCCCCATTTCCCTGCGGATCAGTGAACAAGAAACCAGAGCTGGGTCGGCCTGGAAGGCTCCGCCTGAGAAAGCTCTTCCACAGGCCAGCCCTTTTCCCAGAGCCTGGAATTCCAGAGGCGTTTCCGGCTCTGACAGCTGTCTCCTGGAGACGTGCCCTCCCCGTGGGCCTCACAGCCACGCCCTCCAAAATGCCCCTGGGATTAACTCCCATCCTGACCCTACTGCTCCCAAGAATCCTTTTGCACCCAGACATCACCTCGAGGAGCAGCTGGGTGACACAGATAGGGACGAAGAGCAGCTGGGTGACACAGATAGGGATGCATCTGCCATCACCCGGCACCCAGGCTACTCCCTAGCCTCAGGCCAGGCCCTGACTCCCGCACATCTCAGCCATCACTGCAGCTGACACACCTTGGCCGCATATACCCGAGTCAGACACACACACTTAGAGTTTCCAGCCTGGCTCTCACTGTTTGCACACAGCCTCATACATCTATAGAGCCTCGCTCATCCTACCTCCTCCAGGCAGTCTTCCTGGAAGCCCTGCCAAGTCGGTGCTGAGCCTTACCTGTCTGTGAGCCTGTTTCACCCTGTTAGTCTGAGAGATGGCATACACTCAGCAGATGCTCACCCACACTGAAGCCAGCCATGGAGTGTGTGGCAGCCCAGGACTCCACTGCACACTCGCATGCAACCCCGACAAGTCTATTCTCTCTGGGCCTCAGTGGCCTCAGAAGCCTTATTTTTTTATTTTTATTTTTTTCAGTCACCCAGGCTGGAGTTCAGTGGCACATCTCAGCTCACTGCAACCTCCGCCTGCCAGGTTCAAGCGATTCCTATGCCTCAGCCTCCCCAGTAGCTGAGATTACGGGCGTGTGCCACCACACCCAGCTAATTTTTGTATGTTTAGTAGAGACGGGGTTTTGCCACATTGGCCAGGCTGGTCTCAAACTCCTGACCTCAAGCGATCTGCTGGCCTCGGTCTCCCAAAGTGCTGGGATTACAGGCGTGAGCCACTGCGCCTAGCACCCAGGAGTCTTCTGAGAACCCTGAAACCGCCCCCTCTCACCCCACCAAGTGTTAACTCGTGGGGATCTGGAGTCAGAGGAAGGAACCAGAGAGCCGAAGGGTCCTTCCAGGAGGGTCTCCATCTCCTGGCTCTTTCAGAACACATTCCTGTCATCAAGGGCCACAAGGCGAAAAAAAAAGCAAAACAAAAAAACAGCATTAGGCAGGGTTGCCCCCAGCCTCTGCTAATGAGGAAGCCCCATCAAGGATCCTGAGTCACCCCCGGGTCTGTGATCCCCGAGGGCCGCCATCACTGAGTGGGGCAGTGGCCCAGCCTAGCACCCGACACTACCCTCCCCGTGTGCGGCATTCAGTGCCTCTGCCTGCGTCCTCCACAGTAGACCCAACTTAACTTCTAGCCTTCCAGAACCAGATCATGAACTCAGGTGTACCCATTCCCACCTCCACCTCTCTGCTGAAGCCTGTTCTCTCCCCAACTTCACCTACAGACAATCTTACCCCGAGACAGAATGCCCAACTCAAGTGCCACCTTCTCCAGGAAGGCTCCCTGGCCCTCCTCAGTCGGTCTTCTGCCTCCCTGGTCCCTTCAACCGCTGCTTTGACCTTTCATCACTACCAGTCTCCTGGCCTCTGTCTTCCCCAGCAGACTCTAAGTATCTTGAAAGTATGGCCCACGTTCCTTACCGCTGCCCCCTCACAAGGTGCTCAGCCCAGGGCTCTGCTGCAGCAACTACCCATTTACCACGTGTTCACGGAAACTGCCTACTGGTAAAGGAAAAATGATAAAGTCATAATAGGCCGGGCGCGGTGGCTCACGCCTGTAATCCCAACACTTTGGGAGCCTGAGGCGGGTGGATCGCTTGAGCCCAGGAGTTCGAGACCAGCCTGGCCAACATGGCAAAACCCCGTGTCTACTAAAAATACAAAGATTAGCCAGGTGTGGTGGTGGGCATCTGTAATCCCAGCTACTTGGGAGGCTGAGGCACAAGAATAGCTTGAACCTGGGAGGCAGAGGTTGCAGTGAACCGACATCACCACCACTGCATTCCAGCCTGGGTGACAGAGCAAGACTCCATCTCAAAAAAAAAAAAAAAAAAAAATGGTCGGGCACAGTGGCTCACACCTGTAATCCCAGCATTTTGGGAGCCAAGGCGGGCAGATCACCTGAGGTCAGGAATTCAAGACTAGCCTGGCCAACATAGCGAAACCTCGTCTCTACTAAAAATACAAAAATTAGCTGGGCGTGGTTGCGGACTCCTATAATCCCAGCTTCTCGGGAGGCTGAGGCAGGAGAATCGCTTGAACCCAGGAGGCACAGGTTGCAGTGAGCCAAGATGGTGCCATTTCACTCCAGCCTGGGTGACAGAGCAAGACTTGATCTCGAAAACAAAAAAAAAAAAAAAAAAAGAAAAGAAAAGGAAAGAAAAAAGAAAAAAAAAGTCATAATAACAGCTACCCTTCCTTGACCATAACTACAGGTCAGGCAATGAACTTTATGGCTTATTACAGATAATGGAGCTGAGACCAATGCTGGGGACTGACTTATCCAAGGTCACTCTGCTAGTGAGAGACAAAGTCCTGATTTGCACTCAGGGTTGTCTGACTTGGGAATGCACACTGGGGAGAGCATGGGGGTCAGCCTCCTTGGCCCATTGCCAGTCTCCCCTAGGTGTGAGGTCACCTCTGGAGAACTAGGTCACAGCACAAACCTCTTGAAGAGTCCAAAGCTGCCCCCTTCCCCTGCAGTGCCCAGGTGTGCCTGAGCCCCTGCAGGGGTCTAGCCAGTGAGTATCCCTGGATTGGTCCCAGGAGGAGAGTACCTGCTCTCATTTGGCTCAGTCAAGGAACGATGAACAAGAATTCCTATGTTGGTCCTGATCATTCATTTCCCAGTGTGCCAGGAGCACAGAGCGTGCACAGACATCACTCTCTCATCAGCGATCTCAGCAGGAAATAGATACCAACATGGAGGATGGACCGGATGCAGTGGGGAGGCTCATTTTGAAGGAGTTCTTCCAGAAGAAGGTGACATTTCAAAGCAGTCTTCAGCCGGGCGCAGTGGCTCACGCCTGTAATCCCAGCACTTTGGGAGGCCAAGGCGGGTGGATCACCTGAGGTCAGGAGTTAGAGACCAGCCTGGCCCACATGGCGAAATCCCATCTCTACTAAAAATACAAAAAAAAAAAATAGCTGGGCATGGTGGTGGATGCCTGTAATCTCAGCTACTCAGGAGGCTGAGGCAAGAGAATTGCCTGAACCCAGGAGGCAGAGGTTGCAGTGAGCCGAGATCACGCCATTGCACTCCAACCTGGGTGACAGAGCAAGACTCTGTCTCAAAAAAAAAAAAAAAAAAAAAAAGCAGTCTTCAAGGGTATTTTGCCTCCAGGTAACCTGCTGATGAGGTGAGTGAAGTGCATGTGTGTGAGAAAGATGGGGACGTGCTCAGACACCCATACTGGTCAGCAGAGACCAGGCGTGAGTCAGTGTAAGGGCATTACAGGATGGAAGTGGAAGGAGTAGATGGACAGGTGGGTGAGTAGATGGCCACGGGTGTGGGCAGTGGATCAAACAATGCTGGGTAGAGTGGGTGGGTGGGTGTACAGGTAGGTAAATGGATGATGGGGTGGAAGGATGCATGGGTGTGTAGGCGGCTGGATGGGTGCATAAGTGGATGGATGGATGAATGGGGGATAGGCAATGGGTCAATGGAAGGGTGGGTAAGTAAGTGGTTGAGTGATTGGATGTATGTGAGTAGCAGATCAAGACATGGACAGGAAGTAGGTGGGTAAATGGGTGCATGGAAGGGAGGGCAGATGGATGGACAGGGGAGTGGGCAGTGGGTAGATGGATGAATTAGCGATCGCATCGACAGATGGATGGACCAGTGGACACTCAAGAGCTGGAGAACGGGAAAGACCAATCAGTGGTCAATGAGCAGATGCATTAACTGACCAAAAGCCCAGCCAGACTTTGGGGTACAAAGGGGACATGCACCCTAGGGAGGGGCTGATAGTTGTGGCCTCAGTTGAAGGCTCCCATCCCAAACCTCCCTGGAACCTGGAAGCAGCCACTGGCATTCCTGGGTCCCCAAGGAGGAAATACTTCTCCGTAGCTCTGCCCTGCCCCCTCCTCCCTGGCTCCATAGACTGCTCCCTGCCCAGGACCTGCCTCCTTCCCTTAGGCCCCTTGCCTTGGCCAACCCAATCTGCTGGGCTGAGTGGAGGGGGCAGCTGAGCCCTGGGACTATAGCCTGAGGAGCCTGGTTCCTTCAAGACAGGGAGGTAGGGGATCCTGAGCTCTGGGCGGTTGGTTCACCTAGCAGCTCCCCGTCCCCAGCTGGGAGGCATTTGTTCTGCATTCTGCACGATGATTACAGCCCTGCCAAGGTTAACCCCTGCACTCCTGGGCACAGCCTCTCAAAGGGAAGGAAGGGGACCGCAGGAAATTGGGGGAGGAGAAAAGCATGATAAAGGGAGACTGCCCAACCCTGGATCCTTCTTGGGGATATTGAAACTTCTCCCTTTCTCCCGTTTTCCAGAGGGAAAAACTGAGTCAGATCCTTAAATCAGGAGTGGAGCCAGGAACAAGGGCACAGCCTACATGGAGATAGGTTTCTATCTGGAGGCAGGCTGCAAAGGAGGGAGAGGGCTCCTCTCTGCCTCAGCTTACCCAGATGTAAAAGGGGGCAAGAATTCCTGATTCACAGGTTGCCTGTCAATGAGCTGGAGAAGACAAAGCGTGTGGCATATATAGTAGGGAGGTTCTCAACCTCTTGTTCTTTCCTGCCTGCCCTCCCTGCCCGCGGGTGAAGAAGATGGAGCAAGCATGGGGCAGGTTGTAACCACTTCCATCAGGACTGCTTGCTCAGTCATCTGCCTGGGGCTCACAACACCCCAACTAGTAAATACCCACACTGCTATTATACCCATTTCAGAGATGAGAAACTTGAGGCTCAAATGGGCCAAGTGCTTTGCCCACGGTCAGCCACTGGGCCAGGATTTGAGCTCAGGGCCTTTGACATTGCACCAGACTGCCTCCTTTACCAGCCGCTCTAGGGATCCTCTGACTAGAGTGACGTGTAATTGATTGTCTAACCAGGTCACCTTTGAGAATGAAAGGAAGTGCTATTAATAATTACACTGGAACAGTATGTGTAATCTGGGCTGTCCTAGGCAAACTGGAAAGTATGGCCATCCTGCCAAAGTAGGGAGCTTTACGCAAATCACTTCACTTATCTGCAAAAGGGACACCATGGCAGGACTTTCCCTATGGGGCTCTCACAAGAATTAAATGTCATAATGCATGTTAATGAGCTACAGGACCTGGTATGCATCAGGTGCTCAATAAGTGCTGGTTACTACTGATGCTATTAATAGTAATAACCACAGTAGCACTAGTTCTTTGTTTCCATCACTGTCCTTCCAGTCCATTCTTCACTCACAGTCAGATTTCTATTTTGTTTTTTGTTTTTTTGAGATGGGGTCTCGCTCTGTCGCCCAGGCTGGAGTGCAGTAGCACGATCTCAGCTCACTGTAACCTCCGTCTCCCAGATTCAAGCAATTCTCCTGCCTCTGCCTCCTGAATAGCTGGGATTACAGGCGCCCACCACTATGCCCGGCTAATTTTTGGTATTTTTAGTAGAGACAGGATTTCACCATGTTGGCCAAGCTGGTCACGAACTCCTGACCTCAAGTGATCTGCTCGCCTCGGCCTCCCAAAGTGCTGGGATTACAAGTGTGAGCCACCGCGCCCGGCACTTTTTTATTTTTATTTTTTAAGATGGAGTCTCGCTCTGTTGACCAGGCTGGAGTGCCGTGGTGCGATCTCAGCTCACTGCAACCTCCGCTTCCCAGGTTCAAGCAATTCTCCCTGCCTCAGCCTCCCGAGTAGCTGGGATTACAGGCACCCGCCACCACGCCTGGCTAATTTTTGTATTTTTAGTTGAGACGGAGTTTTACCATATTGGTCAGGCTGGTCTCAAACTCCCAGCCTCAAGTAATCTGCCCACCTCAGCCTCCCAAAGTGCTGGGATTACAGGCGTGAGCAACCACGCCGGGCAACAGTCAGTCTTCTAAATGTACACCTGCCAGTGCTGCCTGCTGGCTCACTGTCCTGATGCTGTTCCAGTTCTCCATGGGACAAAATACTCCTGGGCCGGCCCCCAGGGAAAGAGTTCCTACTGCTGTGCCACTTGAGCAAATGCTAGAATGCTTTGTGCCTCTGTTTCCTCATTTGTCCAGCTGCAGAAATAGCTCCTTCCCTTGGTGGCCAGCATGGGGATTCAGGGAGCCAGTGGAAGAGGCCTAGCCCCTGGGTGAACAGTAAAGACCTTGTCTCCTCCACCTGCGGGTAAATACAGCTCCTCATCCCCGGCCACAACAGCGCTCAGCCAGTCTCCTTCAGCCGGGTTTGCCTCCGCTGCAGGGTCCTCCACTCCCAGCCTTTGCTGTGCTGTCCCTTGCCAGCTGTGCACTGTGCATTTCCACTGCCCTTCCCTCTGCCTACACGTCCTTTAAGACTTAACTCACAACCATGCAGTGGCTCACACCCATAATCCTAGCACTTGAGGAGGCCAAGGCAGGCGGATCACCTGAGGTAAGGAGTTCAAGACCAGCCTGGCCAACATGGTGAAGCCCCCTCTCTACTAAAAAATACAAAAATTAGCCGGGCGTGGGTGGGTGCCTGTAATCCCAGCTAGTCCGGAGGCTTAGGAGGGAGAATCGCTTGAACCCGGGAGGTGGAAGCTGCAGTGAGCTGAGATCATGCCATGGCACTCCAGCCTGAGCAACAGAGAGAGACTCCGTCTCAAAAAAAAAAAAAAAAAAAAAAAAAAAAAAAAAAAAAAAAAAAAGAGAGAGAGAGAGACTTAACTCAGGTATCATCTCCTCTAGGAAGATTTCCTGAGCCCCCAGGCCCTGCAGGAAGTATTAGGGACCTCTCTGTGCCCTGACAGCCCGAGGACTCTATAGTCAGATGGGAGTAGTCAAAGGAGGGCACAACAACGGGAGGCAGGGGCCAGAGATCTATCTCCCCTCCTTGAGGATGGCACAGGGTCCCGGGTATGGCTGATTCCCTGCCCTCCATGGAGGTGGGCGGGGTGGGGGGAGGGTCTGTAAAGTCTCTGAGATGCGACTTCATTTACCTGCCGAGCAAGCCTCCTAGGTGCTCTTGGAGCAGGAAACACTTCACACAACATCTGATGCTGCTATTATCTATCCCACTTTCAGATCAGGAAACTGAGGCAGAGAAAGGTAAGTAGTGACTGAGGCAGGACAGGAGCCCAGGCTGTCCGGCTCCAGGGTCCCGGTCTTGACGGCCACTCTACCCCACTCTACCAGTCGCCCCAGTATGGCTGTCTTCCTCCTGGGCACCGCGGGGCCTGTACCGGATGGAAGGGAATGAGAATGGGGAGCAAAGGAGTGGGCATGTCATGCCTGTAAACATCAAGGTTTAAAGGCCCAGGCATTCAAGGCCTCAGATCGAGCTTCCCGGTTCCCCGAACTCCCGCAGGGCGCGGCTGGAGGGCCCAGGAGGGAGGAGAGTTCATCAGGCCTGGACGCCCCAAGCAAGGCCACGAGGGGAACCGGTGGAAGAGGGGTTGGCGGCCGGGGACCGGAGTCGCCTCCCCGGGGCAGCCCGCACGTTCCCCGGCTGGCCTTGTCCGGGGTGGCGAGCAGAGGCCTGGCCTGGCCCCCCAGCCGCGTCCCTGCCAGCTCTCGGCGGCCGCGAGGACGGTGCCGGGGAGGGGGCCGGGGAGGGGGCCGGGCCCCGCCCGCGGGCGGGAGGAGACGGGCGGGAGGCGGGAGCGCCCACACCCCGCCCCCGCCCCCGGATCCAGCCCGCGGAGCCCGCGGCCAGGGCGGCGCAGACCGGCCCAGCGACTCTCCCGGGCTGCCAGCCGGGACGCGCGGCCGCCGCCGCTGCAGACGACGAGTCCGCCCTCGTCCCGCGCCCCCGGGGCTCGCGGAGCCAGGTAACAGCCCGGGCGCGCGGGTCCTCGGGGCGGAGGCCGTGGAGGCCGGCGGGTCCCGGCGCCCGCGGGGACTCTGCACCCTACTAGGCTCCCGGGGCCGGAACGGGGACGGGACCCGCCCGGGAGAGGCGCCCCCGGGTGCCCACAGGAAGGCCGGGCGCGGCCGCGGAGCCGCGCGAGGAAACTCCGAGCTTTCGGGCTTCGTGTCCCGTTCCAGGCTGGTGGAGGGGGCAGAGGATCGGACACGGCTGAGCGGCCAAAATGCGCGAGGAGGGGGCGAGCCGAGGGGCAGAGCGGGGGCTGTCTCCGCGCCTTCCTGCGCGGGGGAAGGAAGGGCCGGGGCGGGCAGCGGGCGACGCGGCGGAATGTCTCCCCTCCGCCGAGGCCCACGCGGAGAGCGGGAAGTGGGGGGTGGGGGGCCCGGGGAGATGGACAGGCACCCTGCCCCCCTCCCCGACCGCCGCATTCCAGGCTGGAGCCGCGGATGAGGTCATCCCGTCCGGTTCCCCTCCGGCCAAGACAGCCGGTCGTCCCCTTCCCCCGCGGAGCGACCCTCCGCGTCCTGAGCCCCGTCCCCCCAGGGAATGTTGGATGGCCGAAGTCTTTCCCGGACTTCCAATCCCGGCCGCCCTCCAGATTGTTCTGCCTTTGCCCCAGCAGTGCCAGACCCGCAACATTCGAAGCCCTTTTCCTAGACCGGGAAACTGAGGCTTAGAGAGTAGGGGGGACTGGCCGGGAGGCCGCAGCGGCACTAAACGTGGCGCGGGGACCCGAGACGCGGCCCGCAGCCGCTCCGTCTCGCTCGGTCCCGGGCTGGTTCGGCTCTAACTCGGGGCGGTGGGCACGAAGCGCGTCTCCTTTCCACTTTCCCCGTCGCTCCCTAATGGCCCACGGTGCCCCCCTTGGAATACGGAGGACCGGGTCCCCTAGCGCGACTGCGAACAACTAGCTACCCCGTTCTGGCCTCAGTTTCCCCGTCTCTCCACCTTGAAGCGTCTGGACTTTGAGGAGCAGGAGAAGTCAGCCGACCGGTTTAACCCCTTATTCCAGGGACCAGAGCAGGTTTGGGGGAGCTGCCGTAACCATGACAGGGACCCGCTGTCCAGCGGTGGGGGGGGGCGTCACCCAGCTGGATGCCCGCAGGAAGTGGGCTGTGTGCACCCGAGCAGTGGCCTCCAGGATGAGACGTGGGCCCCTGGCCAGCACTGCGGCCTGCGGGTGACCCCCAGGTGAATGCCAGGGTGCAGCCGCCCCCGCTCTCCTTCAGACCCGCCCTTGGCCTCCCCGCGACCACATGTGCCTCCACAGCGACCCCTGTTGGCCCGATCCCGGCTCCAAAACTTGTTCTTGCGTCATTCCCACCATTGAGTGAGCTCAGGCCATGTGCCCAGGCCCTGACTATCCTCTATAGGGTAAATATAAGGACTCCAAGGACACTGAGGCTGTGTGGTGACCTCCTTGCCCAGGTCACAGGCAGTGAATCTGCAGAGCTGGGTCTCCTGTCTTCCCAGGCCTGCACCTGCACCCCACACCGGGCTCAGCACTGGGCATCCAAGCCCTCCAAATCGTCTTCCCCATTCCCCATCGTCTTCACCCCCACCCTGGGGCATTTACCAGCAATGTTGGTCTGTGACTGAGGGTAAATGTCTCCTTTCTGAGCTTCGTTTTTTCCATCTGTGAAAGGGGTGTTCTGAACACTAACGGGCGGTGTTCCTGAGCAGGTGAGGGGAGGTGAGCCTGGCACCAGGACACTTGGAGCCCTGCTTACTCCAGTGCCAGGTGAGGCACACCTGATGGCCAGCAGTGCCCTGTGGTTGGCAGCAAGTGCCACGTGGCTGCCACCGGGGTCCCTGGAATGAGAGATGTTAGTGTAAAGGTGTCAGATTTGAACCCATGGCTGCCCTGCTCCAGTATCTGAGGGTTTCATTACATTTTCTACCCTTGCAACTCCCCTGGGAGGGGAACTGCCTGGTGTGCTGTTCCGTTTTCCACATGGGAAGACCGGGTCCCAATACCCTGCCCTCAGCTCCACAGCGCTGCAGAGTCTCTCGACCGCAGTAGGCAGGGTAGTGTGAGGGGTGGGTACTATTGGGGGGGTGCCCAGAAACATTTGAAAGATGGGATCATCGCAAGATTGGGGAGGAAGCTGGTCCCCCAAGTCAAAAGTGACCATGGGGGTTCAGGGGGGAGGAGCCCCTTTTGCTGGGAGATGAGGTGCTGCCTCAAGAAGTCAGGGAGGCCAGGTGTGGTGGTTCACACTTGTAATCCCAGCACTTTGGGAGGCTGAGGCAGCAGGATGGCTTGAGTTCAGGAATTTGAGACCAACCTGGGCAATGGAGTGAGACCCTGTCCTTACAAAAAGTGGAAAAACTTAGCTGAGCATGGTGGTATGTGCCTGTAGTCCCAGCTACTCAGGAGGCTGAGGTGGGAGGATCGCTTGAGCCTGGGAGTTCGAGGCTGCAGTTAGCTGTGATGGAGCCACTGCACTCAGCCTGGGTGACAGAGTGAGACCCTGCCTCAAAAAAGAAAAAAAAAAAAGTCAGGGAGCTGGGGTGGGAGCAAGTGGGTAAGGCCACATGGCAGACCCTTCTACAGGACATTGTACAGAGGAACACCCTTCCCGCTCCCATTCCTTCCCCCAGAGATGCATCCTTAATCCCTGCTGAGCAGGGAAACTTGGCCCTGCCATGAACCTGTCACTTAACCTTGGACAGGTCTCCCTTCCCTCCGAACCTCAGTGCTGCCTGTCAAATAGGCCACGCTGCGGCTTTGCAGGGTTGTTGGAGAATCAGATGACATCATGTAATGGTTGGCCAACTGTGGATCGCTTCAGAACTTCAGCAAACATTCCACGAGGACTTCTCGGTGCCGGGGGTGCCAGGGAGGGAAGAAGATGATTCAGAAGTTCCCCCCCACGAGGGGGAGGAGTTAGGGTTGGGGGAGGATCAGATGGTGGGAAGGGAAGAGAATGTAGTCAGAAAACAAAGCAAGCTTTGTCCTATTGGCTTCTTTGTTCTTATCTTGTTATTTAACCTATTTTGAATTTCAAATAACATTAGAAGGGCAGTATTGAGATTTCTATGCTTGGAGGTGGCAGCAATGGTTTTAAAAAAGGAAGAAGGCTGAGCCGCAGACATAGGTGTTCTTAAGGATCATTATTGACTTTTATCAGCTGAGGTCCCAGGTCTGTGTAGGTAAGTGACTTGCCCAAGGTCACATTGTGAGGACACAGAGCCCAGCCTGCCCTCCCACTCTCAGAAGGGGCCAGGGTGATGTTTTGGCATGCAGGTTATCATGGAGATCTGTGATTCAGCTGGCATTGATTTGGCACTTGTTAAGTGCAGAGCCCAAGCTAGATGCCCAAGGGAGAAAGGCAGGAAAATCCAGGCGGCCTCCCCACCCTCCAAGTGCATTGCCGATCTCGGGAGGCGAGACTGGGCTCCACAAGCCAGTCAAGGGCTTATGTGAGTCAGAGGCTCTGAGTTCAAGTCTCAACTAGCTCTGTGGATCTGACCTCTAGCCAGCTTTGCCCTCAGTGGGCCACAGGAAAAGCATAGGATCACAGGTGCGCTCTAGCCTGGACTTTGTATGACACTAGAAGGAAAGGGGTCAGAACAAGAGATGCTTAGAGAAGCTGGAGCAGGGGAGGATGTGTGTGTGTGTATGGTGGGGGTGGGGAATCAGGAAGGAGAGATGCACAAGAAATAGCTTTTGGCACCAGCTGAGCTTTTTCCAAAGCTTGCTCCCTGACAGCAAGGCTCCTACGTCAGTTTGACAAACTGTGATAAAGTCTTTTCCTGCGGGCCTTCTCAGAGACTTGAATATGCTCACGCATGGAGGAGGCAGCTGGAAAAAGCCACTTTTGACCACAGGATCCTTATTCCAGGAAGCTCCTTGAAGGTGGATGGTTCAGAGGAACCTCTGCTCTGGCTGTTTACCCAGCTTCACAAAGCTTTGGTGAGGTGTCTGCTCCCTCCTGGCTTCGCTGCGTGGCAGAGATTTTAATGCACAGAGAAGGGAGGTGACTTACTCAGTTACTCAGCAGGAGGCAGTGTAGCCTGGGGCTCCAGGGCTCTGGGATGTGGGGCCTGTTTCACCATTTCTTACTACGTAGCCTCAGGCAAGTTACGTCACTTTGTGCCTCAGTTTCCCCTCTCTAATCTCATGCTGCCCTCAGGAGTAATGTTTTTGTTGTTGTTGTTGTTTGTGAGACGGAGTCTCGCTCTGTCGCACAGGCTGGAGTGCAGTGGCGCAATCTCGGCTCACTGCAACCTCTGCCTCCCGGGTTCAAGCAATTCTCCTGCCTCAGGCTCCTGAGTAGCTGGGATTACAGGCGCCCGCCACTACGCCCAGCTAATTTTTTGTATTTCTGGTAGAGACGGGGTTTCACCATGTTGGCCAGGCTGGTCTCTAATTCCTGACCTCGTGATCCACCCGCCTTGGCCTCCCAAAGTGCTGGGAATACAGGCGTGAGCCACCGCGCCCAGCCCCTCAGGAGTATTGTATGGGTTTAAACGATGAGGCGGGTGAGGTCTTGGCACTTAGTAAGTGCTTCATAAGTGGGCCCTGCAGAATAAGTGCTTTCTTTTTTTTTTCCTTTTTTTTTTTTTTTTTTTTGAGACAAGGTCTTGCTCTGTCTCCCAGACTGGAGTGCAGTGACACAATCATGGCTCATTGCAGCCTTGACCTCCTAGGCTCAAAGGATCCTCCCTTCTTAGCCTCCTGAGTAGCTAGGACCACAGGCATACACCACCACACCCAACTAATTTTTTTAAAATTTTTTTGTAAAAACCAGGTCTCATTATGTTGCTCAGACTTAGAATGAGTGAATGAGTGCTTCTATTTTTTCCTGATACATGGCTTAAGTGTATAGCTCAATGAATTATTTGTCCCCTATTCAGTCAGTACCTGCTCAGAGGCTGCCATCATTCTGATTGCTAATAGCATCAATTGGTTTTGCCTGTTACTGAACTTCCTTGTTTTTTTTTTTTTTTTTTTTTTTTTTTTTGAGACGGAATGTTGCTCTTGTTGCCGAGGCTGGAGTGCCGTGATGTGATCTTGGCTCACTGCAACCTCTGCCTCCAAGGTTCAAGTGATTCTCCTGCCACAGCTTCCTGGGTAGCTGGGATTACAGGTGCGCACCACCACGTCCGGCTAAGTTTTGTATTTTTAGTAGAGACGGGGTTTCTCTATGTTGGCCAGGCTGGTCTCGAACTCCTGACCTCAGGTGAGCCACCCACCTCAACCTCCCGAAGTGCTGGGATTACCAGCATGAGCCACCGCACCCGGCTGTGTTCTTGAACTTTCTATACACAGACTCACTTGGGTCCCCGTGTGCCTAGCTTCTGCCCCGCGTCAGTTGGAGGCCTCCATCCGTGTAGTTGGGTGTGATCATCTATCCTCTTCAGCTGCTAATGTTTGGACCCCGGATTTCCTCCTCTGTCGCGGGCCTGCCGTCACCGCCCATTCTGTCTTCCTTCCAGGTCTCCACCTCTGGGCAGGAGAGTTGCCGACCACCTCGGGGGTGCTTTCTCTGCGCTTGAACATCTATAGCTGCTTCTGAGGGGCTGGGAGCCGGGCCCCTGGGAGAGACGAGCCATGAACCCCCCACAGCCTCTGCATTTGGGGACCTCACCTTAGGAGAGTGCCATTTACAGCTTCCGCCAGGGCAAAGGAGCTGAGCAGCCATCCCAAGCCCAGCCCACCTCCCTCCCCCGGCCCCTGGTAGGCATGGACTAGCAGCTGTGAGCAGCCAGAGCTGATGCCCGGCCCCCAGGGGGGCAGAGGCGCCGCCACCATGAGCCTGGGCAAGCTCTCGCCTGTGGGCTGGGTGTCCAGTTCACAGGGAAAGAGGCGGCTGACTGCAGACATGATCAGCCACCCACTCGGGGACTTCCGCCACACCATGCATGTGGGCCGTGGCGGGGATGTCTTCGGGGACACGTCCTTCCTCAGCAACCACGGTGGCAGCTCCGGGAGCACCCATCGCTCACCCCGCAGCTTCCTGGCCAAGAAGCTGCAGCTGGTGCGGAGGGTGGGGGCGCCCCCCCGGAGGATGGCATCTCCCCCTGCACCCTCCCCGGCTCCACCGGCCATCTCCCCCATCATCAAGAACGCCATCTCCCTGCCCCAGCTCAACCAGGCCGCCTACGACAGCCTCGTGGTTGGCAAGCTCAGCTTCGACAGCAGCCCCACCAGCTCCACGGACGGCCACTCCAGCTACGGTGAGGGCCTGGGCCATCTTGGCCCACTTTTCAGAGGCTGAGGCTGAGGCCCAGAGGGGTTCAGTGGCTCCTCCAAGCTCCAAGTGAGCTCCAAGTGACCACAGAGGTCAGGCCCAGACCCCACATCATGGATGGGGAGGGGGTGCAGTGGTGGGAACAAGCTGACTCCCCAAAACACCTGAGGTTGAGAGTGAGGAGGTGGAGTTTGAATTCTAGCTGCCCCTCACTTGCTGTGTGACCTGGGCAAGCACATCCCCCTCTCTGGGCCTTAGCTGAACCAGTCACCCACCCATTCTTGCCCCCTTCAACCAAAGCCTTCCCCTCATGTCGGAATGATATCATGGAGAGGTGAAGGGCCTGGGCTCTAGATTCCAATCCAGTTCTGCCTGAATTTCAGGAAGTCAGTTGACCTCTATAAGTTCAAGTCCTCGCCTGGATAATGAGTCTCTCGGGGTCATTGCTAAGATTCAGTGCCAGGAGAGGCGCAGGGGGGCTGATACTTAGTAGGTGCTCAGGACACTGGAGCTGTTGTTATCTGAACTTGGTTTCCTGTAACTCGACAAATTTGGGAAACCACTCACAGGAACCGCAAGCCACAGGCCTTCCTGCCCAGCCAGAAGTGCCACCTTGGCCGTTCGGTCAGAGCTCACCTGAGAACCATGGGCCCCTGCTGCCACCTGGTGGCCACTCCCTGCCTTGCGGGAGTGGCTCTAACACCCCTGCCCCAGGCGGCTGCTCAGAACCGCACTGAGGACTGGTCCACAGAAACCCGATTCTGTCTCAGGTCTGTAGTCCTGGAAGCAGGGGCTGGACATGTCTGTCCTTCATTTCTATACAGTCAGACCCTGATTGCTGGTCCCATCCTGTGTCCACAAACCAGCTCACGTGCTATGGGTTCACCTGCAGCCATCGGCCAGCGTCATGGCAGGGAGCCGGTGGCCATGGCTGAGGTCACAGTTGGGACTGAGAGGAGATTTGAGCTCCAGACTTGATTCCACCTCGTCAGACTTCTATGGCCTTGGGCTAGCTCCTTCGCCCCATCCCAAACTGAGCCTCACTTTCCCCATCTGCATAATGGAAATGAGGATAATGATGATTTTCAGCTTTCGGGGTAGACAGGAAGATCACACAGGTGACCATGGAGTGTATTCTATTGGAAAGATGGGAGAAACCGAGGCCAGAGAGGGGAGGGACTAGCCAGAGGCCACACAGCAAGCCAGGACTGGTCCTGTCTCCCCTCCTGAATTCCTGGTGAGGGACCCCAGCTCTGAGCCCACTGCCCATTTCTCTTCTAGGCCTGGACTCTGGGTTCTGCACCATCTCCCGCCTGCCCCGCTCGGAAAAGCCGCATGACCGAGACCGGGATGGTTCCTTCCCCTCTGAGCCCGGGCTTCGCCGCTCTGACTCTCTCTTGTCCTTCCGCCTGGACCTCGACCTTGGGCCCTCACTCCTCAGCGAGCTGCTAGGGGTCATGAGCCTCCCAGAAGCCCCTGCAGCTGAGACTCCAGCCCCCGCTGCAAACCCCCCAGCCCCTACTGCAAACCCCACGGGTCCTGCTGCAAACCCCCCAGCCACTACTGCAAACCCCCCAGCGCCTGCTGCAAACCCCTCAGCACCTGCCGCAACCCCCACGGGTCCTGCTGCAAATCCCCCAGCCCCTGCCGCAAGCTCCACACCCCATGGACACTGTCCCAATGGGGTAACAGCTGGGTTGGGCCCAGTGGCTGAGGTGAAGTCCAGCCCAGTGGGAGGGGGTCCCCGAGGACCTGCTGGCCCTGCCCTCGGCAGGCACTGGGGAGCAGGCTGGGATGGCGGCCACCACTACCCAGAGATGGATGCGCGGCAGGAGCGGGTGGAGGTGCTGCCCCAAGCCCGGGCCTCCTGGGAGAGCCTGGACGAAGAGTGGAGGGCGCCCCAGGCAGGCAGCAGGACCCCAGTGCCCAGCACAGTGCAAGCAAACACCTTTGAATTTGCGGATGCTGAGGAGGATGATGAGGTCAAGGTGTGAGGGGCTGGGGCACGGTCCCAGGGCCCCACCTAGGTGCAGAGCCGGCCCCTCACCTAACAGCTGGTTCCTACCAGACCGGAGAGGGGAGAAGTCATGTTGCCCCTAAACCCCTCCCCACCTCTGCAGGACAGACATGGGAGGGAGGACAGGGAAGGCCAGGCTTGCTCTGGGACTTTTATGCTCCCAGAGGCCCTGCCAAACTGACCACCTCCCCCGACTGCCACTCTGGACCTAATAGCTGTTCCTTAGGCCCCACTCCATGCCACCCCCACCAGCTGGAGGACCCAGCCTCACAGTGTGTCCTTTGTGCCAGACCAAGCGGCCCGTGGGGGGTGGGGGGCAGGGAGTGTACCACACAGGGCCATTGTCTCACCTCCCAAAGGGACCGCCTGCCCCCAGCTCATCCCAGAGCGTCCCTGCTGCAACCCTGACAGCCGTCTCCCAGGCCGCTTCCCCAACATCCCCGCCCCAGCCTCCCTCTTACCCCAGAAAGGTCAGGTATGACCTCCCGGGGAGGAATCCCACCTGCCTGTATACCCCAGACTTGCCTCTGGGGCCTGATTAAATAAGGCTGTTTTGATAAAAGGTGTCCTGCAAGATGCTTGGGGACCTGGGACAACAGCATCAGCTCTGTCTGCTTCAGTCCCCTCCCCTCCAGGGAGTTTAGAAAGCCAAGGATCCCCCATCAAGGCCCCCAGCAGGGAAGGGAAGTGGACGCGCCAAGGGGAGGGTAATGAGTAACCAGGCTGGAACGCCCCTGAGATAAGAGGCCCAGGTGGGAGCCCTTATCTGCAGTTCCGGGAACAGCCCCTGGCCCAGGTGCCTGGGACTCGTGTCTGCCCCATAATCCCACAGGGCAGCATGGCATTTGCTCTGGCGATAGTGGGGGCAAGTAGACAGAAGCAAGTGCGTAGGACTGTTGGGAGCATGTCTCAGCCTCCCAACATGGCAGCCGGGTGTCCTCATATCTGTTTCCTCCTCAGTATTATGAAAATGCCAGGAGCATTAAAATGCACGGAAAGAGAAATGCCCTCCTTAGGTATCGGAAGACCGGTTAAATTTAGCCACAAACAGCTAACGTGAGGTGGTGCACTCCCTGTCACTACAGGTATGCAACCAGAGGATGTGTGGCAGGAGGCAGGATCACTACGGGACCTCAGGATCCCTGAGAGCAGGACATTCTGGATCATGGGGTGCCTTCATTCAGAGGTCCTCAGACCAGGGGTATCCCATGTTTTTGTAAACTTGAGGGACCCAAGAGAGAAAGGAGTCACAAGCCACAGTTCTTGCCACAGGAAGACTCGATAAAAACAGATTATTTTGTTTGCTTTTAGCCCTGGGGCAGGAACTGCAGGTAGGGATAGGGGAACACACCCAAGCTCTGTTGATCCTGGTGTGACTCGGAAGAAGAACCAGGACAGAGAATCTCGGCTGGAAGTCTTTTATTCTTTTAACTTGAAAGAGGACATGTTGAACCCGCCCCTTACGCTCAGGTAGCTCAGGTGGCTGTGACCCAGCCTGTTGGGAAAAGTCAGCTCGTGCCCATCTGGCAGCTTCACCTTGAATTTGTCACTCTCAAAGGTCACTGTGAACTGTGGGGAGGGAGGGTGTCAAGGAGGCAGGAGGCCCTGGAAATGGGCCAGGGCAGTGCCTGATGGCTCAAACAAGGCCAGCACCTGTGTCCAGGCCAGGCTCTCTTCCATCTGGGCCCTCCCCTTGACATCACCCCAGTGCCCTTTCCCCCTTTGACCTCACCTTGACCTCTGACCCTGGGCTGAAGCACAGGTGATCTTCCCGTTGTTCTTGCCCCCAGTTGCTGCCGTCCAATGAGTTGCAGACAATGGTGGATTCGCTGAAGCGAGGGTTGAAATGCAGGTTCAGCTTGTCTGTCCCCTGGCCCAGATTAATTACAAAGCTGCAGGAGAAGGGGTAGCAGGTGAGGTTCAGGGCTCAGGCCTGGATAAAGCAGCTTGGGTTGGAGGACCTTGGTTGACCACAAGCTGGAAGAATCAAAGCTTGTGTTAGTTGAGATCTGTGCCTTAAAACAAGGGAGGTAACAACCTGCTCAGACTTAGCACTGTGGTAGCACATTCCATTTGGAGCAGGGATCACGCTGTTGAGAGAAGGGTAACTGATAGTGACAGCTTCGGGAATTGGGGGTGGCTCTCCTGGGAGAGAGAAATGCTATCTCTTAGATATCTGAAGACCTATTAAATTTAGCCACCAGCAGCCAACCTAAGGTGGTGAGCTCCCTGTCACTATGGGTGTGCAACCGGGGTTGTATGACTTCTTGGCAAGATCACTACAGGAGCCTGGGCTAGACCTGCAGGGTTCCTGAAAGTGGGGCATTCTGGGTCATGGGGTGTCTTCATTTGGGAGTCTCAGACCAAGGGTATCACACATTTTGACAAACTTGAGGGACCCAAGTAGGAGAAATAAGTCACTTTTCCCTTAGCTCCTATGGCATGCACCTGCCCGCCCCCTCTCTAACCAAAAGTAGATAAAGCACAGTTCCAAGATGCGCTGACATGTTCTGCAGGCGAGAGAGCCTTTCGCTGGACTGTGACTCACGGAGGTGGTGAGGCCGCTGGTTCTAACCAAGAGGATGCCAGCGAGACCACTCAGCCTCCCCTGGTGGCTGCCCTGGTTTAATGCTCATGAAATGCCAGCCTGTGGCCATTCTGCTGGGTAAAGAGGGTGGTGTCTCTGGGGATTTGGGCGTTCCCTAGAGGCACCTGCCCCGCAGGGGGCCAGACAGAGTTCCAGGGGCTTCTCCACCTGCCCCTTCAATGGCTGTTGGGGCAAAAGAATAGAGCATATGGCATCAACTCTGAAATTCTGCAGGTCCCCAAACCTAGCCTCAGACATGAAGTGGGGGCCAGCAGGGGTGTGGGGAGAAGGGTGTGAAAAAGGGCCCATTGGCCTGACGTCCCTCTTGCCTGAGCACTTCACAGGGCTGCCCTGCCTGCCCCACCCGCCCTGCCTATTCCGGGCCTGCAGACTCCCCCAACCCTGAAACCTTGCTCACCCATCAGTGCCATCGGCGATGCTGCCTGTGATCTTCAGGGTTGACCCCGGCTTCATGTCCATGTTCTTAACCTCAAGTTCCCCCTGGGCCAACAGAGAAACATTCCACTCGAGTCCCCACAGAAAATCAATCCCACACTTGCCCAGCAGCTTCATCCACCTCATGCCAACCCAGCTGCAGGTCTCAATCCCCCTGCCCACGTGAGGACGCAGGAGACCACCAAGCTGGAAAGTGGCAGAGCCAGAGCGCTCTGATCAAGGCCTCCCAGAGCTTCCCCACTCCCTGCCCTGTTTTGCTCTTATCCACCCCAACCCGAAGAGGCACAGGACGGAGGCTCAGTTTGCCCATCTATGAAATGGGCAGAGTGCTTCCTGCCCAGTTCCGCAAAGTGTTCAAGTGATGAAATCACGCTGCCCTCAGCAGAACCCCAGAAACAAAAATATGATATGGAAAATGACTGTATCAGAGGCACAAGATCTTGGCCCACCCAAAACTAAATCTGGCCAGGTGCAGGGGCTCACGCCTGTAATCCCAGCATTTTGGGAGGCCGAGGCGGGCTGATCACCTGAGGTCAGGAGTTAGCAACCAGCCTGGGCAACATGGTGAAACCTCGTCTCTACTAAAAATAAAAAAATTGGCCGGACGCGGTGGCTCACACCTGTAATCCCAACACTTTTGGGAGGCCGAGGCGGGCGGATCACGAGGTCAGGAGATCGAGACCATCCTGGCTAACATGGTGAAACCCCATCTCTACTAAAAATACAAAAAGTTAGCCGGGTGTGGTGGCAGGTGCCTGTAGTCCCAGCTACTCGGGAGGCTGAGGCAGGAGAATGGTGTGAACCCGGGAGGCGGAGCTTGCAGTGAGGTGAGATCGCGTCACTGCCCTCCAGCCTGGGCGACAGAGCGAAACTCCATCTCAAAAATAATAATAATAATAATAATAATAATAATAAATAAAATAAAATAAAATAAATTATCTGCGCATGGTGGCGGGCGCCTGTAATCCCAGCTACTTGGGAGGCTGAGGCGGGAGAATTGCTTGAATTCTGGAAGCGGAGGTTGCCATGAGCTGAGATCGTACCATTGCACTCCAGCCTGGGCGACAAGAGTGACTTTTCATCTCAAAGAAAAACAAAAAAAAAAGGCCGGGCACAGTGGCTCACACCTGTAATCCCAGCACTTTGGAAGGCCGAGGCAGCCAGATCACCTGAGGTCAGGAGTTTAAGACCAGTCTGCCTAACATTTAACCCTGTCTCTACTAAAAATGCAAAAATTAGCCAGGTGTGGTGGCACGCATCTATAGTCCCAGCTACTTGGGAGGCTGAGGCAGGAGAACGGCTTAAGCCTGGGAGGCAGAGGTTGCAGTAAGACAAGATCACGCCACTGCACTCCAGCCTAGGCAACAGAGCAAGACTCTGTCTCAAAAACAAAAACAAACAAACGAACAAAAACTAAGAATCTATAAAACTCCGCAAGTCCTATGTCCATCAAAGTCTCTCTCCAAGCCTCACTTTCCCCTTCTGTAAAATTGACTAATTTGATTTATTCATTTAAAAAACAGTTGATAGCCTGGGTGTGGAAGTGTGTACCTGTATTCCAGCTACTCAGGATGCTGAGACAGGAGGGTCACTTGAGCCCAGGAGTTGGAGACCAGCCTGGGCAACATAGCGAGACTCCCATTTCTATTTTTGTTGTTGTTGTTGCTGAATGCCAGCTGTATGACAGACCCTGTCACACCAGGGAGACACCACCAACCTTCAAGCTGGTTTTGAGAGGATTCAAGAACATGTTTGTGAAATCCCATGCACAGGGCCTCACGTAGACCAACAGCAAATCACAGGACCACCATCATTTATTGTTTTACTTTCCTTTTCTTTTTTTGTTTTTTTTTTTGTTTTTTTGAGCAGAGTCTTGCTTTGTCGCCCAGGCTGGAGTGCAACGGTGCGATCTCGACTCACTGCAACCTCCACCTCTCAGGTTCAAGCGATTCTCCTGCCTCAGCCTCCCGAGTAGCTGGGACTACAGGCATGTACCACCATGCCTAATTTTTGCATTTTTAGTAGAGACAAGGTTTCACCATGTTGGTGTGGCTGGTCTCAAACTCCTGGCCTCAATTGATCTGCCCACCTCAGCTCCCCAAAGTGCTGGGATTACAGGCGTGAACCAAGCCCAGCCTTAATTTTCTTTTTTAAATTTTTTCTTTTTTTCTGGACAGTGGTCTGCCCAAATGACCATCATTTTGATTACTTGTTGTTAAGATTCATCTGCTCCTTATTTTCCATAGGAAAGCAGCACCTGAATTTCTGTACAGTAGGAGCCTCCTCTAGCCTCACGATGGTTACTAGGGAAGATTTCTAAGCTGGGTTTTCAAAGCTCATTACCCAGGGCTGGGAGCGGTGGCTCACGCCTGTAATCCCAGCACTTTGGGAGGCTGAGTCGGGTGGATCACCTGAGGTCAGGAGTTTGAGACTGGCCTGGCCAACATGGAGAAACCCTGTCTCTATTAAAAATACAAAAATTAGCCGGGTGTGGTGGCACATGCCTGTCGTCCCAGCTACTTGGGAGGCTGAGGCAAGAGAATCGCTTGAACCCAGGAGGTGGAGGTTGCAGTGAGCCGAGATTGTGCCAGGCGACAGAGCAAGACTCTGTCTAAAAAAAAAAAAAAAAAAAAACTCATTACCCAAGACCAGTTTTCGCATCTATGACCAGAGGGTGAGGGTTGGTCTGACCAGGACGCAACAGGCACCAAAGATTTAGAACAACTTATGGGAGGACACTTTTACATTGTGGGAGTTCTGCTCACTGACTTTTTATTTCCAGAAAAAGCATGATCTGAGATGCCCTGAATGAGCTCATTGGACTGGGGCACTTTGCCAGAAGTCAAGGGGGCAGTGGCCATGGGAGGACCCTCAGTGCCCTCTCGCTGGCAGCCGCCTCCTCTCTGCAGAGGAGGAAGTGACCCGCTGGTTGGTCACATGTAGGGGTAGGTTGTTAGGTATTGCTCAACTCTTCCACAGGCAGTAAGTTCTTTTTTTTTTTTTTTTGAGATGTTGAGATGGAGTCTCACTCTGTCACCCATGCTGGAGTGCAGTGGTGCAATCTTGGCTCACTGCAACCTCCACTTCCCAGATTCAAGCAATTATCCTGCCTCAGCCTCCCGAGTCACTGAGATTACAGGCTCCCACCACCATATCTAGCTAATTTTCTTTGTATTTTTAGTAGAGACGGGGTTTCACCACTTTGGCCAGGTTGGTCTCGAACTCCTGACCTCAAGTGATCCTCCCCTCTGGGCCTCCCAAAGTTCTGGGATTATAGGGGTGAGATACCACACCCAGCATTTTTTTTCTTTTCTTTCTTTTTTTTTTTTTTTTGAGACAGGGTCTTGCTCTGTCACCCAAGATGGAGTGCAGTAGCACGATTATAACTCACTGCATGCAGCCTCATAGCCTCCTGAGCTCAAACGATTCTCCTGCCTCAGCCTCCTAAGTAGCTACGACTATAGACGTGTGCCACCATGCCCAGCTAATTTTTAAAATTTTTGTAGAGATAGGGTTTTGCTATGTTACCCAGGCTGCTCTGGAACTCCTGACCCTCAAGTGGTCCTCCTGCCTCAGCCGGTAATACATTTTTTTTTAAAGGTCTTGCTCTGTCACCCAGGCTAGAGTGCAGTGATATGATCAGAGCTCACTACAGCCTTGACCTCTTGGGCTCAAGCAATCCTCCCACCTCAGCCCCCCAGGTAGCCTGGACCACAGGCATCCCACCTGGCCCAGCTGATTTTTTTTTTTTTCAGATGGGGTCTCACTATGTTGTCCAGGCCAGCCTCGACCTCCTGAGCTCAAAGGATCCTCCCACCTCGGCCTCCCAAAGTGTTGGGATTACAGGTGTAAGCCACTGTGCCCGGCCTGGCAGTACATTTTATAAGAGACGCCTGGAGGAGGCAGCAATGCTTAACCCAGGACAGCGGGCCATGACGGCGGCATGTCAGACAGGAGGCTGCTCAGACCAGAGCTTCTCAGCCTTGGCCGTCTGGACGTTTGGGGCAGGCATTTCTTTGTTGGGGTCTGTCTCTTGTGTTGTAGGATGTTGAGCAGTATTCCTGGCCTCTACCCACTGGATGTCAGTGACACCCTCCCCTGAGCGGTGACAACCAAGAATGTCTCCAGACAGGGTCCGTTGTCTCCTGGGAGCAAAACCTCCCTGCTTTAGAGAAAGTGGGGTTTGGAGGCTGGACACCTAACTCCCCATGTCTTTGCTTAACACAACGGGGTTGGGTCCAGATTTTGGAGCCAGACAGACGGGATTAAAATCAGTCTCTTGCTGGCCAGGGGCGGTGGCTCACACCTGTAATCCCAGCACTTTGGGAGGCCGAGGGGGGCGGATCACGAGGTCAGGAGAGTGAGATCATCCTGGCTAACACGGTGAAACCCTGTCTCTACTAAAAATACAAAAAATTAGCCGGGCGTGGTGGCAGGCGCCTGTAGTCCCAGCTACTCGGGAGGCTGAGGCAGGAGAATGGCGTGAACCCGGGAGGCGGTGCTTGCAGTGAGCCAAGATGGCGCCACTGCACTCCAGCCTGGGCGACAGAGCGAGACTCCGTCTCAAAAAAAAAAAAAAAAAAAAAAAAATCAGTCTCTCACTGACAAAGACCATTATCTCTGGGAGATGAGGTTATCCAGTGAGGACAGTCCAAAAGGGGCTCAAACAAGAAACAGAAGACAGGTGTGCCCGCCACACAGACACTCACAGACGTGTGCCCTGCGCACACACACGTCTAACACCAAGCATCAGGAGATGGCTCCCTGCCTCCTGCCAGCAGCCTGTGCCCACACCCCGAGCCCTGCAACAGTCAGGCCAGGATAGGGGAGCTGGGCCTGGACTAAGAGAAGCACCCACACTCCCCTTGCAGCTCCTGGGGGCTGCCTGACTGAAACAGCAAAGCTCAAACCCCAAGGATAGAGGTGGGGGCTGCTGCAGGGCAGAAGCACTCGGAAGTCCAGGGTCAGGGGTGCACTTGGACAAATAGGGATGCTGAGAGCTGCGGGAGGGTGCAGGCCCGGGAGCCTTGTCCCCACCCAACAGAGTCAAAGGCGCAGAGAGAGACAGGCAGAACTGGGTGGGGGTGTGGTCGTCCCTAGAGCTGGGGGGGTGGGGAGTTGGGGGCCCAGACTCTAGTGCCGACTCTGCCCCTAATTGGCAGAGGGGCCTGGGGCCAGCTTAGCCCCTTTCTGGGCCTTGGTTCCCTTATCTGTCGTATAAGGGATTTGGATGATATGGCCTCTGGAGCTGGAGAGAGAGGAAAGAAAAGGCAGAGGTGAGATGACCAGGAAAGAGAAGGTGGGGAGAGTCCGTGGGCCACAGCAGTCCTCCCCGAGAGGCAGAGGGTGATGAGGGCATAGACCCTTCCACGCAGGACCCCTGGCACATTCACATCCTGCATCCCCCCTGCACTTGAATAGCGTCCCCCGAAAATTCATGTCCACCTGGAACCTGTCAATGTGACCTTTTTTTTTTTTTTTGAGATGAAGTCTCACTCTGTCACCTAGGCTGGAGTACAGTGGCTCGATCTCGGCTCACTGCAACCTCTGCCTCCCGGGTTCAACCGATTCTCCTGCCTCAGCCTCCCAAGTAGCTGGGATTACGGGTGCCCACCACAACATCTGTCTAATTTTTTTTTCTTCTTCTTCTTCTTTTTTGTTTTTGTATTTTCAGTACAGACAGGGTTTCACCATGTTGGCCAGGCTGGTCTTGAACTCCTGATCTCAAGTGATCCGCCTGCCTCGGCCTCCCAAAGTGCTGGGATTACAGGGGTGAGCCACCCCGCCCAGCCTCAATGTGACCTATTTAAAAATAGTTCCTTTGCATATGTAATCGAGTTAAGAGGTCATACTGGTTTAGGGTTGGTCCTAAATCCAATACGACCAGTGTTCTCATAAGAGGAGAGAAATATAGACACAGAGACGGAGACACACAGAGGAGTCCACGTGAAGTTGGAGGCAGAGATTGGAGTGATGCAAGCCAAGGAATGCGAGGAGCCACCAGAAGCTGGAAGAGGCAAGAAAGAACCCTCCCCTTGCGCCTTCAGCAGGAGCGTAGCCCTGTAGCACCTTGGTTTCAGGTTTCTAGTCACCAAAACCAAGACAGAACAAACGTCTATCGTGTGAAGCCACCCACAATTTGGTGGTAATTTGTTATTGCAGCCCTAGGCAATGAATACACCATCTAATCCTCAGAAGAGGCAGCCTGTGATCCCCTTCCACAGATGTAAGGAAGACTGGGGCTCAGAGACGGTCAGTGACTTGGCCAAGGCCACACAGTAAAGCTGTGGCAGAGTCTGGTGTAGAATCAACGAATCAGAGACCTCAGTGGGAATCCACTCAACCCCTTGTGATTTGCAGCTTGTGGCCTTGGGCAATTTGCTCTCCAAGACTTGGGTTTTGTGTGTGGGTATATGAGACAAGGTCTCACTCTGTTGCCCAGGCTGGAGTACAGTAGTGCAATTACGGCTCACTGTAGCCTCGACCTCCTGGGCTCAAGTGATCCTCAGCCTCCCAAGGCTGAGGAGTGTGCCGCTACCCCCACTAATTTTTTAAGGCAAAGCGTAGTGGCATGCACCTGTAGCAGAAAAGGTCTCACTATATTGCCCAAGCTGAGATTTTTTTTTATCTCTATAAAGATCAATGGAGGCCAGGCACAGTGGCTCACACCTGTAATCTCAGCACTTCGAGAGGCCAAGGCAGGAGGATCCCTTGAACCCAGGAGTTTGATATCAGCCTGAGCAACATAGTGAGACCTCATCTCTACGAAAAATAAGAAATAAGCTGGGTGGGGTGGCTCACACCTGTAATCCCAGCACTTTGGGAGGCCAAGGTGGGCGGATCACCTGAGGTCAGGAGTTCGAGATCAGCCTGACCAACATGGTGAAACCCTGTCTCTACTTTAAAAATACAAAAATTAGGCCAGGAGCAGTGGCTCACACCTGTAATCCCAGCACTTTGGGAGGCCAAGGCAGGTGGATCACCTGAGATCAGGAGTTCAAGACCAGCCTGACCAACATGGAGAAACCCCATCTCTACTAAAAATACAAAATTAATCGGGTGTGGTGGCCCATGCCTGTAATCCCTGCTACTCAGGAGGCTGAGGCAGGAGAATCGCTTGAACCTGGGAGGTGGAAGTTGTGGTGAGCCGAGATCGTGCCATTGCACTCCAGCCTGGGCAACAGAAACTCCATCTCAACAAAAAAAAAAAAATTAGCCAGGTGTGGTGACACATACCTGTAATCCCAGCTACTTGGGAGGCTGAGACCAGAGAATTGCTTGAACCCAGGCAGCAGAGGTTGCAGTGAGCTGAGATCGGGCCACTGCACTCCAGCCTGGGCAACAGAGCGAGACTCCATCTCAAAAAAAAAAAAAAAAAGAGAAAGAAAAGAAACAAACAAAATTAGCCAGTGTGGTAGTGAGTGCCTGGGGTCCCAGCTACTCAAGAGGCTGAGGTGGGAGGATCATTTAAGCCAAGGAGGTCAAGTCCGTAGTGAGTTATGATTGCCACCACTGCACTCCACCTGGTGACAGAGCAAGATGCTGTATTGTTGTTGTTGTTTTGAGATGGAGTCTCACTCTTGTTGCCCAGGCTGGAGTGCAATGGCACAATCTCGGCTCACCATAACCTCTGCCTCCCAGGTCCAAGTGATTCTCCTGCCTCAGCCTCCCCATTAGCTGGGATTACAGGCATGTGCCACCAGGCCTAGCCAATTTTGTATTTTTTTAGTAGAGACGGGGTTTCTCCATGTTGGTCAGGCTGGTCTCAAACTCCCAACCTCAGATGATCCACCAGCCTCGGCCTCCCAAAGTGCTGGGATTACAAGCAGGAGCCACCACGCCTGGCCCAAGATGCTGTTTTTTAAAAAAAGACCTCTGTCCAACTTCTTTGCTGCACAGATGGGGAAACTGAGGCCCAGAGAGGGACAGCAATGGTTTTCCCTAAAAGCCCCCACCCAGGCAAAGACAAAGATGAACAGAGTGGGGCAGGCAGCAGGGGGCTAGTGTCCTCACCGTCATGGTGACAGCTCCTGGCGGCAGCTCCCAGCGGCTCCTGGAGGCCTGTGCTCAGGGTCTCAACTCGTGGTCAAGCTTATATCCTAGAATATTACACATTAACTCCCTCAAGGTCCTAGGTGAGGACTTTGCCCCTTCTACCTTGTGTCTCCCCGCCTGCATCTCCCAGTACCCAGCACAAACAGGCAGAAGACTCCTCAGCCAGCTCCACCCCACCCAGCCCGGAGCATCCTCCTGGCCTCCCTCCAGCCCAGCCTCCCCCTCCTCAGCGCTCCCAGAGCCCGAGAGGGGAAGCAGCCCCAGCTCTGCCCCCACACAAACCGCAATGCAGCCGCTTGACAGCTCTCCCAGCCTCCCTCACTTAGCCCAGCTTCCTTGCCTGTAAAAAGAGAGATTTGCTTTGCAAAAAAAAAAAAAAGTCTAGGTTTCTAATTTTCTTTTTTTTTTTTTTTTGAGACAGAGTCTCACTCTGTCACCCAGGCTGGAGTGCAGTGGCAACGATCTCCGCTCAATGCAATCTCCTGGGTTCACACCATTCTGCTGCCTCAGCCTCCCGAGTAGCTGGAACTACAGGCACCCGCCACCATGCCCGGCTAATTTTTTGGTATTTTTAGTAGAGACGAGGTTTCACCGTATTAGCCAGGATGGTCTCGATCTCCTGACCTCGTGATCTGCCCACCTTGGCCTCCCAAAGTGCTGGGATTACAGGCGTGAGCCATTGCGCCTGGCCTAAGGTTCTAATTTTCTATGATGTTATGATTCATTGTCAGAGAGCATTATGTTTTCTTCTTCCCTCCCCATATTATTTATCTGATCGGACATGTAGGTTTCAAAACCAATACACGGATTCAAAGAAAAGATTTCAAACTATTTACAACAAATGGTCAAAAGCAGAGGAGAGCTGGGCGCGGTTGCTTAAGCCTGTAATCCCAGCACTTTGGGAGGCCAAGGCAGGCGGATCACCTGAAGTCAGGAGTTTGTGACCAGCCCGGCCAACATGGTGAAACCCCATCTCTACTAAAAATACAAAAATTAGCTGGGCGTGGTCGCACCTGTAGTCACAGCTGCTCAAGAGGCTGAGGCAGGAGAATCGCTTGAACCCGGGAGGTGGAGGTTACAGGGAGCTAAGATCGCGCCACTACACTCCAGCCTGGGCGACAGAGTGAGGCTCCGTCTCAAATAAAAAAATAAAAAATAAATAAAAGTGCAGAAGGAGTGGGAGGGCTGAGTGGGGGACATGGAGGATGAAAATGCTTTGCTCTTGACTTCTGTTACTTATGTAACTGGCATGCTTACTATAGACAATTAGAGATATTAAATAAAAAGAAAAATAATCACTCATAATGCCACCGCCACGAGGGAACTGGCTTACGCTGTTGGCACATTTCCTTCCAGGCGGTTCTCCACAGATTTACATTATAGACACCCCTCTGTCTGTGCAATTGTTTATCTCTCTTCATTTGGGAAACATTAAAGACCACAAATCTATATTTCAGAACCATACTTTAATGCCTGCGAAATAGTCTACCTTTCAACGACTGAATTTATTTAACCAATTTCCTTCTGCTGAACACTCACATTAATTCTACATTTTTGCTATTAAAAATACTGCTGCATTAAATCTATTTGGACATAAACTTTGGCTGCATCGTGACAACTTATGTAGGGCAGATTCCCAGAAGGAGAACTTTTCTAGAGCTCAGGATTTGGCGAGCCAGAGCGTTTTCCATCAGAGTTGGCGGTGGCCACTCCGGGCAGGATGTGGGGAACTGGCCTTGCCGAGGGCCCTCGGTGCCAGGAGTCTGCAGGTGGCTCACTGCCCAGTGCCCACATAGGACACCACCTTCAGTCCCCTGCCAGCCCGGAGTGAGGAGTGACTTCCTCCTTTCACCCACAAGGAAATTAATCCTCTCTCGGCCTTTCTCCCAAAGGCATGGTAAAACCCCAGTGAGATAAGGAATTTTAAAAGGCTTTCTCCCTGGAAACTAATCAACAGAAACTATACCTTTTAAAGGTGGCATTTTTCTGATTATAATAATAATATTATCTCACTATAGGAGGTTCCAGAAAGTACACACAGTAAAAGGAACTTAAAGTTCACTTGTTTTAAAATAATGTTCAAAAGCAGGGGAAAATGACCATGCATATCATTTACGTACTTTGCTGCGTATATATTTTATACCAATGAAAGATTTAAAAAAAGAAAAAAGAATGGCTGGGCATGGTGGCTCACCCCTGTAATCCCAGCACTTTGGGAAGCTGAGGTGGGTGGATCGCTTGAGTCCAGGAGTTCGAGACCAGCCTGGGCCACATAGTGAGACCCTATCTCTACTAAAAATTTTTTTTAATTAGCCAGGCATGGTGGCACATGCCAGTAGTCCCAGCTACTCAGGAGTCTGAGGTAAGAGAATCACTTGAGCCCTGGAGATCCAGGCTGCAGTGAGCCATGATTGTGCCACTGCACTCCAGCCTGGGTGACAGTGACGGACCCTGTCTCAAAGGAAAAAGAAAAAGAACAGAAATTCCAATACTCACATCTGTAACCTTGTCCTCTTAACAATGGCTACCTTCTGAAGGGCATTCTGCACTTTGCAAACCACTTTCTTCAGCCCTCATCGTTATAAGCTCATAGTACATTCTCAAGGGAACCTCTGTTCTCACCCCATTTTTCAGGTGGGGAATTAGGGATCCCAGGACTCACGCAACTAGAAAGTAGCAGAGCTTGCTGTCTAGCAACCAATCCCTTGCTCAGGCGCCTGCCAAAGTGTGTGGCACTGCCCTCACTTAGCAAAAAGAGCATTTGACCTCCAGTGTGACCTTGAGCCCTCTGTGCGGTGGCCGCCTCTGAGATGGCCCCAATGATCCCCAGCTCCTGGTAATCACACACTTGCCCAATCAGCTCCCTTGAGCATGACTGGACACAGGACTTGCTTCTAACTAAAAGAATACTAGAATATGGCAAAAGTCATGGGATGTCACTTCCAAGGTTAGGTTACAAAAAAACTGTTGTCCTGCTGTCTCTCTCGCCCTCTGCTCTGCTCTTGCCCTGGGGAAGAAGCAATGAAACCACCTTGCGAGTAGCTCTATGGAGAGGCCCATGTGCCAAGGAACTGACGTCTCCAGCCAACCACCAATGAAGACCAGGACCTGCCAACAGCTACATGAGTGAACTTGACATTGGAGCTTACCCCACGCCAGCCTGGAGACAACTTGTGCAGCCGACACCCTGACTGCAGCCTTGTGAGACCCGGAGCCAGAGGCTCTCAGCTAAACCCCACCTGGATTCCTGCCCCAAAGAAACCATGAGAAACGTGTTTCTTATTTTAAGTCCCTACATTTTGGGTTAATTTATTACGCAGTGATAGATAACTAATATACCTTGCCAAGCAATTGTTATTGGAAGGCTGGTAGACGGAATAATATTCCTGAAGGCCTCCCTCCTGGCTAAAGAATCTTTGGTCCATAGATGTCCACAGACATTCTATAATACTATACTGAATTTTTTTTTTTCTTGAGATGGAGTCTTGCTCTTGTCGCCCAGGCTGGAGTGTAATGGCACAATCTCTGTTCACTGCAATCTCCACCTCCTAGGTTCAAGTGATTCTCCTGCCTCAGCCTCCCAAGTACCTGGGATTACAGGCGCCCACGACCATGCCCAGCTAATTTTTGTATTTTTAGTAGAGGCGGCATTTCACCATGTTGGCCAGGCTGGTCTCAAACTCCTGACCTCAGGTGATCCGCCTGCCTCAGCCTCCCAAAGTGCTGGGATTACGGGTGTGAGACACCACGCCTGGCTACAAAAGATATTTTTAAATTAGCTTGGCACGGTGGAGCACAAATGTAGTCCCAGCTACGGGAGAGGCTGAGGTGGGAGGTTCGCTTGAACCCAGGAGGTCAAGGCTGCAGTCGGCCATGGTCACACCACTGCACTACAGTCTGGGTGACAGAGTAAGACCTTGGTCTCAAAAAATATGTATATATTTTCTCTTCAACCTAAAAGTTTATTTTTTTCTGATTGTATAAGAAATTAAAACATTTTAGGCTGGGCGCAGTGGCTCACGCCTGTAATCCTAGCACTTTGGGAGGCCGAGGCAGGTGGATCACCTGAGGTCAGGAGTTCAAGACCAGCCCAACCAATATGGTGAAACCCCATCTCTACTAAAAATACAAAAATTAGCCTGGTGTGGTGGCGTGCGCCTGGAGTCCAAGGTACACGGGAGGCTAAGACAGAAGAATCGCTTGAACCCAGGAGACGGAGGTTGCAGTGAGCTGAGATAGTGCCACTGCACTCCAGCCTGTGCAACAGAGCAAGAGTCCATCTCAAAAAAAAAAGAAAGAAAGAAAAGAAATTAAAACATTTTGGTGTCATGGGCCTGAGGCATCATGCCTGCTGAGCCTGGTGGTGCACACAGCTTCCCACGGGGCTCCTGCTATTGGGAGACTTTGGTCCTGACATCCCTGAGACCCCTACTGTGTCCTCTGCTGTCCTCCTCCCAAAGAACAAACAGATCAACACCCCGGCAATATCCATTTTAACTCTTGCTTCCCTCTCTGCCGAGCCCTCCCCAGCAGCACACAGAGGGACTGGGAAGACCCTCAGTTACTGGTGGGGTGTGGGAAACACAGAGGTTTCAGCAACAGATAGATAATGTCCAGTCCCGGCTCTGTCACCTACAAGCTAAGTGGCCATGACAGGTTGCTTCAAGCCTCGTTTCTGCATCTGTGAAAGGGAGCTAACAGCACCTTCGTCCCAGGGTGGTTGTGAGAATTTTTTTAAATTTTATTTTATTTTATTTTATTTTATTTTATTTTATTTTATTTTTGAGACAGAGTCTTGCTCTGTCACCCAGGCTGGAGTGCAGTGGCGCGATCTTGGCTCACTGCAAGCTCCTCCTCCCGGGTTCACGCCATTCTCCTGCCTCAGCCTCCCAAGTGGCTGGGACTACAGGTGCCCGCCACCATGCCCGACTAATTTTTTTGTATTTTTAGTAGAGACGGGGTTTCACCGTGTTAGCCAGGATGGTCTCGATCTCCTGACCTCGTGATCTACCCGCCTCGGCCTCCCACAGGGCTGGGATTACAGGTGTGAGCCACTGTGCCCAGCCTTAATTTTAATTTAAAAAGTTAACCTATGGGCTGGGTGCGATGGCTGACACCTGTAATCCCAGCTACTCAGGAGGCTGAGGCAGGAGAATTGCTTGAAACTGGGAGGCGGAGGTTGCAGTGAGCCGAGATGATGCCATTGCATTCCAGCCTGGGCGACAGAGCAAGACTCCGACCCAAAATAAATAAATAAATTATATATATGACCATCAGGTCTCCAGGATGTTTAGGCTGCCTGAGGGGGGGTCCCCTGCTCCTGCAGCTCTGATGAGCTGACCGTCCCTCCTTCAGGGGACTTCCACAGAGCTCTCGCCTCATCCAGCCCAGGGATCTTCCTGTTTAACTTGATGGCCGGGTCCGGGGCCCCTCTCTACACAGCAGCCACTGGCCATGCCTGGCCACCCATCCCCAGCTAGTGTCCCTCCAGGACCACCCAGGTCCCCTGGAGCTCTGGGGTCATCCCATCTCACCTGAAATCAGGGTGGGGCCTTGAAGGAGGAAGGAATTTGGAGACTTAGCAGGGAGTGGGCCAAAGCCACCGAGCTTTCTCCCTTTCTCCACTCCTGCCCCCACAGTCTTTCCACCAACCACTGGTTCTTTGTAAGATGTAAATGACAACATTCCACTCTCCTGCTTTAAACCCTCCAGGTTTCTCCTTGCACTTACAGCGAAATCCAAACTCCCCTCTCAGCTAACCAGCCCCACACGATCGGGTCTGGTCCACCTCTTAGCCCCGTCTCACGCCACCTGCCCCCTGGCCACACTGACATCTCTATCCCTTGAATTCACCAGGCTCATTCTAGTCTCATGCCTTATGTCCTTGCTGTTCCTTCCACCTGGAATTCTTCCTCAGCTCTTGGCTGGATTGAGCTCCTTATCATGTCAGTTTTAACTCAAAAGAGGGATGGATGGACAATCGGATGGATGGATGGGTGCTGTGATACTATTATTACATAAAATAGGTTTTGCCCATGGTTTCTAACTCATAACTCTCACAGCATTTGTTAGTCTTTTGTTATAATGTTGGGGTGCTTTAGGCCTCAGGAACAGGCCTCAGAAAACAGAATCAATCTCTGACCTTTGGCTGTCCTTCCTTCACCTGCTCCTTTCTCTCCTCAAGGTAGGAATCTCCCCCTGCCTTTCTTTCTTAGAACAGAAATTCTGGCCAGGCACAGTGGCTCACACCTGTAGTCCCAGCACTTTGGGAGGTTGAGGCGGGCGAATCACTTGAGGTCAGGAGTTCGAGACCAGCCTGGCCAACATGGCGAAACCCTGTCTTTACTAAAAATACAAAATAATTAGCAGGGCGCGGTGATGCGCACCTGTAATCCCAGCTACTCAGGAGGCTGAGGCAGGAGAATCGCTTGAACCTGGGAGGCTGCAGCGAGCCAAGATCACGCCATTGCACTCCAGCCTGGGTGACAAGAATGAGACTCCATCTCAAAAAAAAAAAAAAAACACAGAAATTCTTCCGTAAAGAAATTCCCTGGCAGGGCGCGTTGGCTCACGCCTGTAATCCCAGCACTTTGGGAGGCCGAGGCAGGCGGATCACCTGAGGTTGGGAGTTCGAAACCAGCCTGACCAACAAGGAGAAACCCCATCTCTACTAAAAATATAAAATTAGCCAGGCGTAGTGGTGCATGCTTGTAATCCCAGCTGCTCGGGAAGCTGAGGCAGGAGAATTTCTGGAACCCAGGAGGCAGAGATTGCAGTGAGCCGAGATCGCACCATTGCACTCCAGCCTGGGCAACAAGAGCAAAACTCCATCTCAAAAAAAAAAAAAAAAAAAAAAAAGAAATTCCCTGACCTACCTTGTCATAAGACCCTCATTTCAGAAGGGGTCCTGCTCCATCCCTTGGAGTAAGAAATGCTGCACAGAGAGGCCAAGAAGAATCTGAACAGACGGGCCTTGCGGGGGTTCCACACTTCGTCTAGTAATATTAGATCAGATCCTTTTTGCCCATTCACAGTTCTACACAGAGGTCAATCATGCCGGCATAATAAAGTCCCCATAAAAGGCCCCAGGGGATTGGGTTTGGGCAGCTTCTGAGATAGCTGAACACATGGCTGTCCTGAAGGATGGTGCTCCCAGGTGGGAGGGGAAGCTCTGCATCTCTTCCCCATAACCCGCCCTAAACATCTCTTCATCTGTATGTTTTATAACATCCTTTATAATAGACCAGTACACACAAATGTTTCCCTGACTTCTGTGAGCCACTCTAACAAATTAACTGAACCCAAAGAGGGGTCGTGGGATCCCCAACTTGAAGTCCAGAGGCTCAGACTTGCAACTGGTGTGGAGGGAGAGGGGAGTCAGGGAGAGGGAGCTCAGGAGTTCGAGACCAGCCTGGCCAACATGGTGAAATCCTGTCTCTACTAAAAATACAAAAATTAGCCAAGCGTGGTGGCACACACCTGTAAGCCCAGCTACTCTGGAAGCTGAGAAAGGAGAATTGCTTGAATCCAGGAGGTTGCAGTGAGCCGAGATTGTGCCACTGTACTCCAGCCTGGGTGACAGAGTGAAACTCTGCCTCAAAAAAGGAGAAAAAAGAGGCCTGGCGTGGTGGCCCACACCTGTAATCCCAGCACTTTGGGAGGTTGAGGTGGGTGGCTTACCTGAGGTCAGGAGCTCGAGACCAGCCTGGCCAACACAGAGAAACCCCGTCTCTACTAAAAATACAAAAATTAGCTGGGCGTGGTGGTGCGCACCTGTAATCCCAGCTACTCGGGAGGCTGAGGCAGGAGAATCACTTGAACCTGGGAGGCAGAGGCTGCAGTGAGCCGAGATCGGGCCATTGCACTCCAGCCTGGGCAATAGAGTGAGACTGCATCTCAAAAAAAAGAAAAGAAAAAGAAAAAAGAAAAAAGATGCATGGTTAAGTGGGTGGATGGGTGAGGAGGTGGAGGGAGGGGTGGGTGCATGGATGGTGGATCAGCAGGAGGAATTGCTCATCATAGAGCCCCAAAGGGTGGGTATCTTCAGGGCCCCAATCTGGTGCAGCACGGCCCCTCCCTCCATCCCTCCTGCCCCCTCCCTGGCTTATCATCCCAGCCTTTTGAACCAGGAAGCCTCCGTCTCAGGGCCACGCCAACTTATGCACGTGTGGTGCTGGGTGGATTTACAGAAAAGATCATCAGGTTCTGTGTCCACCTTCTTATAAGTGGCAAGAAGATTTTCCATCTCTGTGTCTTTAGAAATTGAAGATATAAACCAAGCTGCTTCTGTGACTTGGGTGGTCCTTGAGTGCTCTTCCTCAGAGACAGGTGACCTGAGTCCTGAGTGCAGTTCCTTCTCCCTGGCCCAGGCCACACAGTCTTTCCATGGATAGTGGAGCCTTTTTTTTTTTTTGAGACAGAGTCTCGCTCTGTTGCCCAGGCTGGACTGCAGTGGTGCAATCTCGGCTCACTGTGACCTCCACCTTCCAGGTTCAAGTGATTCTCCTGCTTCAGCCTCCCAAGTAGCTGGGATTATAGGCACCCGCCATCACGCCCGACTAATTTTTGTATTTGTAGTAGAGACGAGGTTTCACCATGTTGGCCAGGCTTTTCCTGAACTCCTGACCGCAGGTGATCTGCCTGCCTTGGCTTCCCAAGGTGCTGGGATTACAGGCGTGAGCCACAGCGCCTGACCTGAGCCTTCTGCATCTTAATCACCCAGTCACAGCTGTCCATGCGGGCGGGTACCTGGGGATGGTGAGGAGAGGCTAAAACAACAGAAGCAATGAAGCAACGCTGCTCACCCCAGCATTCCCACCCCACCCCCAGCTTCTGGCAGGATTATATCTGCCAAGGACAGGACTATATCCGCCTCAATCTTTGTGTTTGCCAAGCAGGGAGAGGAGCATTTATCCATCTCTAATGTGGTAAACAACCAAAGGAGGTCCCCCGCCAAGTGCAGCCCTAGTCGCAGGAGCACACCCACTCCCAAGGCTTCTGATCCACCCTGAGCACCTATGGCCACTGGAAACCCCCACTCTTACTGAAGTCTGTCCCTGGGGGCAATCCCCTTCCTCTCACAGTTGGCCCCAGCTCTGCCCTGGGCCACACAGATTCTGCTGCCATCACTGCTTTTCTGATGATTGCAGTCTCAGGACCATCTGGGCTGCCTCCCCGCAGCACCCCGTACATATACAAGCCTCCTTCCTCAAGGGGAAACACCTATGAGCCCCCAGGGCCTCATCTCCCAGAATCAGAATCCAAAGGATTCCAGAAGCAGCTTGGTTTAAATGGACATTTTCCTGAAGGCCAAAATCAACAGGTACAGGCCTTCAGGGAAATGTCCATTTCAGAAGCTGACCCTTTATTTTTAGGATGGGAGCAGGACCTAGGTGCCGTAATACCCTTGCAGGTCAAGTTCACAACCCCCGAGACCCACCAACCAGAGCGGTCATGAATTCTCCCCTAATTCCCAGAGCCCCTGGGGAGACCATGGGCTGCAGGAGAGCAGATGAGACTGTGGCTGGGTGTCCAGAGCTGCTGCCTGCTCCGGCACCTTCATGGAATGGCATTGGCCTCAAGTCCTCGCTGCCTCTTACTGGCTGTGTGACCTTGGGCAGGCCAGGTAGCCTCAGCTTCCTAGAGAATGTATGTAATGGGCTTGGCATACAGAATATGGCACATAGTAGGTACTCAACTATTATTATTCTGTATTTAATAGCTAATTGGCTGGCATTTGCTCAGCACTCTGCATACATTGGGCCATTGCGAGGTCTCTCGCCTGCATCTTAGTTTGCTAATTAGGTGCTTATCTGGGACCTTCCTGGAGCAGGCATTCTCTGCTCCATTCTCTCCTCTGTACGCGTGACAGCCCCAACCCTTGTTCCCCCAGCAGGAGCAAAAGGGGTTGGGTATGATGACCTCCAGCTCAATGTCTAAGGATCTCTGGGTTTCAGTTTCCCCCTCGGCCAGCTCCTCCTGCCCCTACCAGCCACCTCCCAAGCTGGGGATTTCACTGGCCCACCTTTGTTCCCTGCAGAATCCTAGAGTCCTCCAGCCCTTCCCTCTCTGGCCTTCACACTCCACATCCTCAGCCCAGCACAGGAGCCAATTTTGCAAAGAGGTAAAGAGACCTCACCACTGCTGCACCAGTCTGTCCATTTCCTAGCAGGCAACTGGCACTTGTTTGGTTTTATAAATTAAGGTTTCGATTCTTGGCCAGGCGCGATGCCTCACACCTGTAATCCCAGCACTTTGGGAGGCCAAGGGTGGTGGATTACCTGAGGTTAGGAGTTCAAGATCAGCTCTGCCAACATGGTGAAACCCCATCTCTACTAAAAATACAAAAATTAACCGGGCATGGTGGCTCATGCCTGTAATCCCAGCTACTCAGGAGGCTGAGGCACAAGAATCATTTGAACCCAGGAGGTAGAGGTTGCAGTGAGCCAAGATGGCACCACTGCACTCCATCCAGCCTAGGAGACAAAGCAAGACTCCTTCTCAAAAAAAAAAAAACAAAACAGTTTCAATTCTTGTATAATATGTTGCTAGTGGGAATGTAAAATGTTGCAGCTGCTATGATAAATAGTTTGGCAGTTCCTCAAAAAGCTAAACATGGAATTACCCTATGATCTAGCAATTCTACTCCCAAGTATGCACATACCCAAAGGAATCGAAAGCAGGAACTCAAACTAATATTTGTAAACCAATGTTCATAGCAACATTATTCATCAGACCAAAGGTGGAAATACCCAAGCATCTACCAACAGATGAAAGGAGCTAACGGCCCGGCGCGGTGGCTTATGCCTGTAATCCTAGCACTTTGGGAGGCTGAGGCAGGAGGATCACGAGGTCAGGAGATCAAGACCATCCTGGCTAACACAGTGAAACCCTGTCTCTACTAAAAAATACAAAAAATTAGCCGGGCGTGGTTGCGGGCGCCTGTAGTCCCAGCTACTCGGGAGGCTGAGGCAGAAGAATGGCATGAACCTGGGAGGCAGAGGTTGCAGTGAGCCGAGATCACGCCACTGCACTCCAGCCTGGGCCACAGAGCAAGACTCTGTCTCAAAAAAAAAAAGAAAAGAAAGAAAGAAAGGAGCTGGGCATGGTGGCTCATGCCTGTAATCCCAACATTTTGGGAGGCTGAGGCAGGAGGACTGATTGAGGCAGGAGTTCGAGACCAGCCTGGGCAACATAGTGAGACCTCATCTCTACAAAAAAAAAATTTTTTTTTAATTAGCCAGGTATGGTGGCACACACCTGTAGTTCCAGCTACTTGAGAGGCTGAGGTGGGAGAATCATTTAAGCTTCAGAGGCCAAGGCTGCGAGCTGTGATTGCACCACCGCACCCTAGCCTGGGCAACAGAGAAAGACCTTGTCTCAAAAAAAAAAAAAAAAAAAGATGAATAGATAAACAAAATGTGGTATATACAAACAGTGGAATTTTTTTTTTTTTTTGAGAGGGAGTCTTGCTCTGTCTTCCAGGCTGGAGTGTAGTGGCATGATCTCGGCTCACTGCCACCTCCGCCTCCCGGATTCAAGCAATTCTCTTCCTCAGCCACCCAAGTGGCTGGGATTACAGACACCCGCCACCATGCCCAGCTAATTTTTGTATTTTTAGTAGAGACGGGGTTTCATCATCTTGGCCAGGCAGGTCTTGAACTCCTGACGTTGTGATCCACCCACATCAGCCTCGCAAAGTGCTGGGATTACAGGCATTGAGAGAAGAGAGACAGATCCTCTCATATTGTGTTATATTGTCTTATACTCAGAAAAGGAAAGAGAAGCAAAACTAAAGGCAGGTAGCCTGGCGCCTAGGAACCAGACCCGAAAGCAAGGAACCAGACCTGAAACCAGGCCTGGGCCTGCCTGACCTAAGCCTGGTAGTTAAAGATCGACCCCTGACCTAACTGGTTATGTTATCTATAGATTCCAGACATTGTATGGAAAGGCATTGTAAAAATCCCTGTCCTGTTCTGTTTCGTTCTGATTATCGATGCATGCAGCCCCCAGTCACATACCCTCTGCTTGCTCAATCCATCACGACTCTCTCATGCGGACCCACTTAGAGTTGTGAGCCCTTAAAAGGGAAACGAATCGCTCACTCAGGGAGCTCGGCTCTTCAGACAGGAGTCTTGCCTGATGCTCCTGGCCGAATAAACCACTGCCTTCTTTAACTCGGTGTCTGAGGAGTTTTGTCTGTGGCTCGTCCTGCTACAGCATGAGCCACCGTGCCCAGCAGACAATGGAATATTATTTAGCTATGAAAAAGGATGAAGTGCTGATACATGCTGCATGCTACAGCATGGATGAAACTTGAAAACATTATGTTCAATGAAAGAAGCCAAACACAAAAGGACAAATATTGTATGATTCTACTCATATGAAATATTTGCAATAGACAATTTATAGAGACAGAAAGTAGATTAGAAGCTATCAGGGGCTGAGGGGATGGGAGAATAGTGGAGTTACTGTTTAATGGGTATAGAGCTTCTGTTTGGGGTGATAAAAAAAGTTTTGGGACTAGATAGTGGTGATGGTTGCACAATGTTATAAATGTAATAAATGCCACAGAATCCTACATTTAAAGATGGTTAAAATTGGCCAGGCGCTCCCCGCCCCGGACGGAGTCTTGCTCTATCACCCGAGCTGGAGTGCAGTGGTGCAATCTCAGCTCACTGCAACTTCCGCCTCCCGGTTCAAGCCATTCTCCTGTCTCAAGAAGGGTGGTTGTCAACGGGGTGGTTTAGATGTTTGAAGAGAGAAAGCATTTACCTCCCCCTGCTGGCCACTAAGAGAACAATATAAATTAGGAAGAAAAACAGCTTTTCAATTGCTAAACCTCTACTTAAAAATATGACAATTAAGACAAGCATGTGATTAAAACACTTCACACAGCTCAAAAGGGCTTTACAGGGAAAAGCAAGTCTCCCTCTTTTCTCAATCCCCACAGCCAATATCTCTCTCATGCTTGTTTCCAGGGATATTCTATGTGCTACGCAGATGAAAACATGCCAGACACTGACTGCGTCTTTTTTTTTTTTTTTTTTTTTTTGGAGATGGAGTCTCTGTCACCCAGGCTGGAGTGCAGTGGTGTGATCTCGGCTCACTGCAACCTCTGCCTCCCGGGTTCAAACAATTCTCCTGCCTCAGCCTCCCAAGTAGCTAGGACTACAGGCGCGTGCCACCACCGCCGGCTAATTTTTTGTATTTTTAGTAGAGACAGGGTTTCGCCATGTTAGCCAGGACGGTCTCAATCTCCTGACCTCATGATCCGCCCACCTCGGCCTCTCAAAGTGCTGGGATTGCAGGTGTGAGCCACCGCGCCTGGCCCTTTTTTTTTTTTTCTCAGACAGGATCTCACTCTGTCACCCAGGCTGGAGAGCAGTGGCAGTGACTCAAACATGGCTCCCTGCAGCCTCAACCCCTTAGGCTCAAATGATCCTCCTGCCTCAGCCCCCCAGGTAGTTGGGACTACAGGTACATGCCACCACATCCGGCTAATTTTTATATTTTTTGTAGAGACATGGTATCGCCATGTTGCCCAGGCTAGTCTTGAACCCCTGGGCTTAAGCGATCCTCCTGCCTTGGCCTCCCAAAGTGCTAGGGTTACAGGCATGAGCCACCATGCCTGGCCTATACTGGCTGTTCTGTACTTTGGTTTTATTCCCTTAACAGCATATCTTGGAAATTGTTCCATCTCAGTGAAACACATTTCTCTTTTTTTTTTTTTGAGCAGAGTCTCGCTCTGTCGCCCAGGCTGGAGTGCAGCGGCGCAATCTTGGCTCACTGCAAGCCCTGCCTCCCGGGTTCACACCATTCTCCTGCCTCAGCCTCCCGAGTAGCTGGGACTACAGGCGCCCGCCACCACGCCCAGCTAATTTTTTGTATTTTTAGTAGAGACGGGGTTTCACCATGTTAGACAGGATGGTCTCAATCTCCTGACCTCATGATCCGCCTGCCTCGGCCTCCCAAAGTGCTGGGATTACAGGCATGAGCCACCGTGCCTGGCCAACACTTTTCTCTTTCTAAAGGCTGGGATGTATTCCACCTTCGACATTTTCAGCCAGTCACCTACTGGTGGACATTTAGGTTGTTTCTAGTCTTTGACTTTTACGAGCAAACCTGCATGATCCTCTGTGAACGTGGCCCTTTGTGCAAGCGTGTCATGATTTCTAGGGGACAACTGAGCGCTGACTTTGTGCATATGCTATCACTTTAACCACATGCCAACCCTTGAAGTAGGTATTACAGTCTCCATTTTACAGAGGAGCAAACTTAGAGAGGTTAGGTAATTTGCCCCAAGTTGCCCAGGAAGTAAGAACCCAGGTCTGAGGGCAGGGTTGACGCTAACCCATCAGTGCTTTTGTGCAAATTAGGAAAAGGTATAACCCACCCCAGGATGAGGGGTTTGGCAGATGGAGGTGAGCTGGATGTCTGGTTGAATGCTTAGCCAGGTGCTATGTGCAGTGCGCAACCTGCCCAACCGTTCACGGTGGCGCTGTGGGGTTCCTGAGTTGTCACCTGAAGGTGAATTGTGGGTTCAGGTCTGGAGGTCAGTGAAAAAGTGATGGATATGAACTGGATAAAGGCCAAGTGTTTGTTTGCATTCATTCCATTCATTCAACCACCATCTCCTGAACCTCTGTGAGTAGGGCCCATGGATATACAGAGAAGCAAGTAGAAATGGCCCCTGACCCAATCCAGCCCTTTCCCAGCAGAAAAAGAGACCCACAGCAAAAGGCAGCCCAAAGGGAAAAGGCGTTTCGTGAGGGCAGAGAAAAGGCCCACAGGCTGGGAGGCAGGTGACAAAGCTCTGGGGCTACTGGTTCTGTGACTTTCAGCAAGCCACTAATCCACTCTGGACTCAAATGAGACTTGGACCAGCACCTTCTAACTGTAGGCTGCCAAAGAGAACAGAACAGAAGATATCAGTATGCCTGGCACGTAGGGTAAGTATTGCCGTGTGAAACTTGATTATGTGTGCGTGTGTGTGCACGCGTGTGCGTGTGTGTGTGTGTGAGTCAGAGATGGAGTTTTTTGTTTTTGTTTTTTACTTCTTGAGACGGAATTTCACTCTTGTTGCCCGGGCTGGAGTGCAGGGTCACAATCTCGGCTCACTGCTACCTCTGCCTCCCGGGTTCAGTGGATTCTCCTGCCTCAGCCTCCCGAGTAGCTGGAACTGCAAGCACACGCCACCACGCCCAGCTAATTTTGTATTTTTAGTAGAGATGCGGTTTCCCCATGTTGGTCAGGCTGGTCTCGAACTCCTGACCTCAGGTGATCCGGCCACCTCGGCCTCCCGAAGTGCTGGGATTACAGGTGTGAGCCACGGCGTCCGGCCTAGTCAGAGATGGATTTTCCATGACGCTAATAGACCTTAAATTCCAGGGCTCCTCCCTTGTCTTGGGAGAGACCTTAGCAAGTGTTCATGTGTTGAACAGTTTGCAAAAGTAAGAGGTTTTTTTGTTTGTTTGTTTGTGTTTGAGATGGAGCTTCACTCTTGTTGCCCGGCTGGACTGCAAGGTCATGATCTCTCTCACTGCAACCTCCACCTCCCAGGTTCAAGCGATTCTCCTGCCTCAGCCTCCCAAGTAGCTGGGATTACAGGCACGCGCCACCATGCCTGGCTAATTTTTTGCATTTTTAGTAGAGATGGGGTTTCTCCATGTTGGTCAGGCTGGTCTCGAAGTCGTGACCTCAGTGATCCGCTCACCTCGGCCTCCCAAAGTGCTGGGATTACAGGCGTGAGCCACCATGACTGGCCCAAAAGTAAGAGTTTTAAGTCACAATCAGGGCTGCTGCTATCTCTTTCCACTGACTTGCTCTCTGTCACACTTCCCCTGGGGAAGGGGATACTGAGGTGGCCATAAGCGTTTTTGAGACCCCACTAATGGGTAAGTTGGACATACACTTAATTTAAAGTTTGCCAGGCATGGTGGCTCACACCTGTAATCTCAGCACTTTGGGAGGCTGAGGTGGGTGGATCACTTGAGATCAGGATTTCGAGACCAGCCTGCCTAACATATAGTAAAACCCTGTCTCTACTAAAAATACCAAAAAAAAAAACACAAAAAACAGGCCAGGCGCGGTGGCTCACACCTGTAATCCCGGCACTTTGGGAGACCGAGGTGGGCAGATCACGCGGTCATATCGAGACCATCCTGGCCAACATGATGAAACCCCATCTCTACTAAAATACAAAAAATTAGCTGGGCGTGGTGGCGCACGCCTGTAGTCCCAGCTACCTGGGAGCCTGAGGCAGGGGACTCACTTGAACCCGAGAGGCGGAGCTTGCAGTGAGCCGAGATCGTGCCACTGCACTCCAGCCTAGGCGACAGAGCGAGAGTCCGTCTAAAAATAAATAAATAAATAAATAAGTAAAAATTAGCCGGGCATGATGATGGGCACCTGTAATCCCAGCTACTCAAGAGGCTGAGGCAGGAGAATCACTGGAACCCAGGAGGTAGAGGTTGCAGTGAGCCGAGATCACGCCACTGCACTCCAGCCTGGGCAACAGAATGAGACTCCGCCTCAAAAAAAAAAAAATTGAAATCAGTGGGTTATAGTTATAAGGTTCACAGTCACTTCTGTGACTAGTTACGTGATTGCCAGTGGCCCTAGTGTAGGAATGGCTTCCAGAAATACTCCTGGAACCCCCCTGACACATCTGGCATCCTGACCTAAAGGTGCAGGGACAGGGGTCACTCTATGACCACGGTATACATCCTAGATGCCCGACATGGGAAGAATGTGGTCCTGGGAGGAGAAACAAGGTCTGCATTGTAGGGAAGCAGAAGCTAGTCTGTAGAAAATTCTTCCAATTATCAGATGCATTAAATTATAAATGGATGATTCAGTTCCCATTGATACTTGGTTAGAATAGAACTCCTGCCTATTGCGAACATAGTTAATAACGTTGCATATGTAATTACAAGTGTACCACGCAAGATTTGGTTTTTTGTTAGAAAGCATATGCAGTCGAATTGATCAGAATGCTTTTGCAGAGCACAAACCTGAAGCAGTACTGCAAACAGCAAATGTTTCTACACCTCGTGATTTACACGGCATGACACACGAGCTGTGTCTCAGCATGTAACACATTACCAACAACACAATATGACACTGAGAAAAACTTTCCTAAAATAAAAAAGTAAAAAACATTTTTTGATCAACCATGCCAGAAAGCTGACTTGTCTTTCCCTTTATAGAAAATATAATCTGGAGGCTGGGCGCGGTGGTTCACGCCTGTAATCCTAGCAATTTGGGAGGCTGAGGCAGGCGGATCACCTGAGGTCGGGGGTTTGAGACCAGCCAACGTGGTGAAATCCCGTCTCTACTAAAAATACAAAAATTATCCAGGCGTAGTGGCAGGCACCTGTAATCCCAGCTACTCGGGAGGCTGAGGCAGAATCGCTTGAACCCAGGAGACAGAGGTTGTAGTGAGCCAAGGTCATGCCACTGCACTCCAGCCTGGGCGACAGAGTGAGACTCTATCTCAAAAAAAAGAAAATATAAGCTGGCCATGGTGGTGCATGCCTATAGTCCCAGCTAGTGGGGAGGCTGAGGCAGGAGGATCCCTTGTTCCCAGAAGTTCGAGGCTGCAGTGAACTTCATGATCATGCCGCTGCACTCCAGCCTGGATGACAGAGTAAGACCTCATCTCTAAAAAAATAAAAATAGAGGCCAGGCGTGGTGGCTCACCCCTGTAATCCCAGCACTTTGGGAGGCCAAGGTGGGCGGTAACTTGAGGCCAGGAGTCTGAGACCAACCCAGCCAACATGGTGAAACCCCGCCTCTACTAAAAATACAAAAATTATCCAGGCGTGGTGGTGCATGCCTGCAGTTCCAGCTACTCGGGAAGCTGAGGCAGGAGAATCGCTTGAGCCCAGAAACTGGAGGTTGTAGTGAGCCAAGGTCGCGCCACTGCACTCCAGCCTGGGTGACAGAGTGAGACTCCATCTCAAAAAAAATAAAAATAAGGCCGGGCGCAGTGGCTCACGCCTGTAATCCCAGCACTTTGGAAGGCCGAGGCGGGTGGATCATGAGGTCAGGAGATCGAGACCATCCTGGCTAACACAATGAAACCCTGTCTCTACTAAAAATACAAAATATTAGCCAGGAGTGGTGGCACGTGCCTATAGTCCCAGCTACTCAGGAGGCTGAAGCAGGAGAATCGCTTGAACCTAGGAGGCAGAGGTTGCACTGAGCTGAGATTGCGCCACTGCACTCCAGCCTGGGGGACAGAGCAAGCCTCCATCTCAAAAAATAAATAAATAAATAAAAATTAAAATAGAAAATAAAATAAAATAAAATCATTGCTACATAACAAGCACGTGGCCCAAAATTGTAGGAAAAAAATGTATTACAGTGGCATGTCAGGTGCTTAAGTAAAAATATCTTATTGTTCTGATTTAATAATTATGGTATTTGCCAACATTTTAAAGTTTTTTATCTATTTCTCACTCTAAATAAATACATAAGCAGGGCGTGGTGGCTCACGCCTGTAATCCCAGCACTTTGGGAGGCCGAGGTAGGTGAATCACCTGAGATCAGGAATTCGAGACCAGCCTGACCAATATGGAGAAACCCCGTCTCTACTAAAAATACAAAATTAGCCGGGCCTGGTGGCGCATGCCTGTCATCCCACCTACTCAGGAGGCTGAGGCAGGAGAATCGCTTGAACCTGGGAGGCGGAGGTTTTGGTGAGCCGAGATCATGCCATTGCACTCCAGCCTGGGCAACAAGAGCGAAACTCTGTCTCAAAAAAATAAATAAATAAATACATAATTTTGCATCAGTCATTTTATATCCTTTTTTCTTAGAGTTTCCCCAATTTTTTACAAATTTCAGGCTCCACGAAATCTGAATTCATCCCATCCTGATGTAAAACATATTTCTTAAATTGGAAATCTGCCACAAAATATCAAAAAGCTCTGGACTAGATAGATGATCTCAAAGATTTCTTTTTCTTTTTTCTTTTTTTTTTTTTTTTGAGATGAAGTTTCACTCTGCCACTCATGCTGGAGTGAAGTGGCGCGATCTCGGCTCACTGCAACCTCCATCTCCTGGGTTCAAGCGATTCTCCCACCTTTGCCTCCCTAGTAGCTAGGATTACAGGCACGCAACCAACACGCCTGGCTAATTTTTTTTTCTTTTTTTGTATTTTTAGTACAGACGGGGTTTCACCATGTTGGCCAGGCTGGTCTCAGATTCCTGGCCTTAAGTGATCCGCCTGCCTGGTCCTCCCAAAGTGCTGAGATGACAGGTGTGAGCCACTGCGCCTGGCCCAATCTCAAAGATTTCTTCCCGCTCTAGAATTCTCTAACTCTGTGAGAACTGCATTCTGATCCCCTCCCCCCAGCAGCTGCAACTCTAACAGAAAGACAAGGAAGTTCTTCCTTGGAGCTGATCCAAGTCTTTCCTGCTGTCCTTGAAGTCCTTGTCCTGCAGGGAGGCAGGGAGACAAAGTGCCAGTGTGCAGGGCTGTAGGCAAGCCAAGGCAGGGAGAAGTGAAGACAGGTGCTTTGAAGCTATATGCTCTAGGAGAAGAGAAGGAAAAGGGTAGGACCAAAGCCCTAAACCTAGAGAATGGAACTGACGGCCTCTCCCAGTATACCAATAGCAGCCACCATTTGGAGCCTTTTTTTTTTTTTTTTTTTTGACACAGTACCTAGCTCTGTTGCCCAGGCTGGAGTGCAGTGGCACGATCACAGCTCACTGTAGCCTCAACCTCCTGGGTCCAGCCATCCTCCTACCTCAGCCTCTCAAATAGCTGGGACCACAGGCATGCACCACCATGACGGGCTAATTTTTAAAATTTTTTTATGGAGACAGGGTCTTGCCATGTTGCCCAGGCTGGTGGAGGCTTCTTTATTTAGAACTTATAGAGTGCCAGCCAGGCGCGGTGGCTCACGCCTGTAATCCCAGCACTTTGGGAGGCCCAGGTGGGTGGATCACTAGGTCAGGAGATCGAGACCATCCTAGCTAACACGGTGAAACCCTGTCTCTACTAAAAATACAAAAAATTAGCCGGGCGTGGTGGCGGGCGCCTGTAGTCCCAGCTACTCGGGAGGCTGAGGCAGGAGAATGGCATGAACCCGGGAGGTGGAGCTTGCAGTGAGCCAAGATCACGCCACTGCACTCCAGCCTGGGCGACAGAGTGAGACTCCATCTCAGAAAAAAAAAAAAAAAGAATTTATAGAATGCCTACCGCGTGCTAGGTAATGTACGTGTAACTTCCTTTTTTTGTTTGTTTTTGTTTTGAGACAGAGCCTCCTCTGTCTCCCAGCCTGGGGTGCAGTGGCTCAATCTCAGCTCACTGCAACCTCCGCCTCCCGGGTTCAAGCGATTCTCCTGCCTCAGCCTGCCGAGTAGCTGGGATTACAGGCACGTGCCATCATGCCCGGCTAATTTTTGTATTTTTGTAGAGACAGGGTTTCACCATGTTGGCCAGGCTGGTCTTGAACTCCTGACCTCAGGTGATCTGCCCGCCTCAGCCTCCCAAAGTGCTGAGATTTCAGGCATGAGCCACCGTGCCCGGCCATGTACATGTTATTTCTAACCTCCCAGCAACCGAGGTTGGAGAGGTGAAGTGACTTACCCGAAGTCACACAGCTCTGCACTCTCCTGTCCTGCACTTCTTTCCCTCCAGCATTGCCATGCTCCCCAGTTCTAAAGATTTTATTTAGCAGGCTGGGCGAGGTGGCTCAAGCCTGTAATCCCATCACTTTGGGAGGCCAAGGCGGGCGGCTCACTCGAGGTCAGGAGTTTGAGACCAGCCTGGCCAACATGGTGAAGCCCCGTCTCAATGAAAAATACAAAAAACAGGGCTGGGCCTGGTGGCCCATGCCTGTAATCCCAGCACTTTCGGAGGCCGAGGTAGGTGGATCACCTGAGGTTGGGAGTTTGAGACCAGTCTGACCAACATGGAGAAACCCTTTCTCTACTAAAAGTACAAAAATTAGCTGGCGTGGTGGCGCATGCCTGTACTCCCAGCTACTCGGGAGGCTGAGGCAGAAGAATCACTTAATCCCGGGAGGCAGAGGTTGCAGTGAGCCGAGACTGTGCCACCGCACTCCAGCCTGGGTGACAGAGCAAGACTCCATCTCAAAAATAAATAAATAATTTTTAAAAATACAAAAAAATTAGCCGGGCGCGGTGGCTCGTGCCTGTAATCCCAGCTACTCGGGAGGCTGAGGCAGGAGAATTGCTTGAATGTGGGAGACGCAGGTTGCAGTGAGCCGAGATCTAGCCACTGCACTCCAGCCTGAGCCACAGAGTGAAACTCCATCTCAAAAAAAAAAAAAAGATTTTATTTAGCAAACACCATCTCCCCCAACCCACCTTTGGGGAGGAAATTCCTCCTCATTCTCCATTCACTGCCCCTTCTGTCTCACACTCATTCAGCCACCTGTCGGGTAATTGGTCCCTCGCCCTCCTCTGCAGCACTTTGAATAAACCCACACAGGACTTCGGACAGCCCCACCAGCCTACAGCTTCTTGGCTGATTGTCTTTGTGGCACCATCCAATCTGAAAGTATATTGTTCATTTACGGGCTGAGTAATTTACTTGAATGTAAATTCTACCAGGGCAGGGGCTTGCCTCTCTTATTCCCCCCAACTTCCTCCCCTGTCCTGCCACAGGACTTGGCACAAGGTGGGCGCTGAATCATTAATTGCTTTCTTGTGTAACCTCGACCTCAGAGTCATGCTGTAAACTCCAAGTGCTAGAGCACAAGAATGAAAAGTAGCAACTGTCCATCAGCCAACTAACACGGGGCAGTATTTGCATATTGTCTTCCCATTGATGAAATCCGCTGTCTCTAGTTTCCTTCTGGCCAGTGGGGTAAGGGCATAGTATCCGCCTCAGTGTCCACGCCCCTGTAATTTACATCTTCCTACCCAATGAAAAGGTGTCCGGGGGTGGGGAAAAGGGAGTTGCTCAGACTCTTCATTCCCCAGCCCCTTCTGTCCCCTAACTGGTTGGCACACAATTCAGTCACTGGCAAACATGACCCCATCCGGTACACCTGAGCACCTAGAGTAGGGAGAGGCTGATATTATGAAGAGCTGGGGCAGAGGAGGCTGGGGACTAGAGTCCCACTCTGCAGCAGAGATGGTCCACACCATGTAGTCAGACCTTGAGGTGAATCTACATAAGCTCTTCTCAGATCTAAGGTCCTTGGGGAGCTAGAGCAGGCAGGAACAGTTGGCTTGGGGAGCATGAGGTGGACTGAGCAGAGGTTAAGGTTCTCTAACTTTGGGCAGACATTCCTGGGCCGGCTAACTGCAGCCTTGACCTCCTGGGCTCAAGCGATCCTCCTGCCGTATCGAGTAGCTGGGACTATAGTTGCATACCACCACACTCAGCGCTGAGCTAATTCTTTTTTTTTTTTTTTCTGGTTGCCTAGACTGGTCTCAAACTCCTGAGCTCAAGTGATCCTCCTGCCTTGGCCTCCCAAAGTGTTTGGATTACAGTCGTGAGCCCCCTGTGCCTGTGCCCAGCCTCTCCAAGGGGCTTTTACATGGTGGTCACCCAGAGAAAACCAGCAGGGTAGAGCCTGCAGCACCTTGGAAATCAAGCAGAACTTGGCCCCAGCTCCCCATTTATGGCTTCAGGCAAGAGTTTCTGTAACCTCACTGGCCCTCTACTTTCCTCCTCTGTAATTTGAGAAGACTAATAACTATCTTAAAGTACTGGTATGATATAAATGAAAAAGCCATGGCACATAATGGATGAGTCAATAAATGGTAGCAAATTATCCTGATTTGGAATCAGATCAAAGGTAGTGAAATGAACTGTCACATGGGAGATTCCCACCTGCCCCCCAATCTTCCCAGGACATGGAAAAGCCCAATGAACAAATCCATTTCATTAGTGGCCACAGTCCCCTCACTCCCACCCTGAAATGGCCCAGATTTCCCTTGCAGCAGATTTTTTTTTTTTTTTTTTGAGATCTCACTCTGTTGCCCAGGTTGAAGTGCAGTGGCATAATCATGGCTCACTGTAGCCTCAACCTCCTGGACTTAATCCATCCTCCCACCTCAGCCTCCCTAGTAGCTGGGGCCACTGGCAGGCGCCATCATGCCTCGCTAATTTTTTTTTTTTGAGACAGAGTCTCACTGTGTTGTCCAGGCTGGAGTGCAGTGGCACAATCTCAGCTCACTGCAACCTCCGCCTCCCAGGTTTCAAGCAATTCTCCTGCCTCAGCCTCCCAGATAGCTGGGATTACAGGCATGCATTACCAAGCCCGGCTAATTTTTTGTATTTTTAGTAGAGATGGGGTTTCACCATATTGGCCAGGCTGGTCTCGAATTTCTGACCTCAGGTGATCTGCCCACCTCGGCCTCCCAAAGTGCTGGGATTACAGGAGTAAGCCACTGTGCCTGGCCATGCCTGGCTAATTTTTTAAATTTTTTGTAGAGACGGGGTCTTGCTGACCTTGTAGCAGGTCTTATTTTTGCTGTCCCATTGTTTCAGGCAATCTAGATTTTGGGGGAAAGGCTTAACTGCAAACAACCAATGAGATAATCTTCTGTAACACAGGCATTTATATATTTGTACTGAATTATATTTCTTTTCATCTTAAACATCATTTTCTTTTTTAATTTTATTTATAATAAATAAATATTTATTATAATTTTTTTTTTTTTTTTTTGGAGACGGAGTCTCGCTCTGTCACCCAGGCTGGAGTGCAGTGGTGTGATCTTGGCTCACTGCAACCTCCGCCTCCCGGGTTCAAGCGATTCTCCTGCCTCAGCCTCCTGAGTAGCTGGGATTACAGGCTTACACCACCACGCCCAGCTAATTAGTAGAAACGAGGTTTCACCATGTCGGTCAGGCTGGTCTTGAACTCCTGACCTCGTGATCCACCCACCTCGGCCTCCCAAAGTGCTGGGATTACAGGTGTGAGCCACTGCACCCAGCCAACATGATTCTTTTCAATTAAGATAATTTATTAAATTCACCGGGAAATAGAGCTAAATTTTAATACTTTGTGAGCCTTTTATTGTGTAAATTCACACATTTTGGCAATGATGTTGGTTACACCACTTGGCCCAGATCGGATTCAGAAAATAGAGCCCTTCTCCCTGTCCCCTGCACACATACATGAGGAGTTGAATACATCCATTCCGTAGGCTCTGTCATCTTTCTGATGTCTGCTCTCTCCCAGTCAGCAGCAGCATCTGGAATCATGGCTCCTGGGATCATGCATGAACTTTGGGTGCAGAGAATCAAGCTTGAGTTCAAATTCTGCTTTCTGTCTTCTTAGCTGTGTGACCTCAGGACCTTTGCACTTGCTGTCTGCGTAGTCACCCTTTCTACCGCTGGCTCCTTCTCAGCTTAAATATCAACTCCAACAGGCCTGTCCAGGCCACTTCCCATATGGCCTCTACTCTCTCACACTAGCCCACTTGGGTCCCTTCGTAATTACCTCCATGTGCTTTGTTTGCTTCCGTGTTTTCTTTTTTTATTCTTTTTTTTTTTTTTTTGAGACTGAGTCTTATTCTGTTGCCCGGGCTGGAGTGCAGTGGCGCAATTTTGGCTCACTGCAACCTCTGCCTCTTGGGTTCAAGCAATTCTCCTGCCTCAGCCTCTTGAGTAGCTGGGACTACAGGCACGCGCCACCACGCCCAGCTAATTTTTTGTATTTTTAGTAGAGACGGGGTTTCACCATGTTTGCCAGGACGGTCTCAATCTCCTGACCTCGTGATCCGTCCGCCTCTGCCTGGCAAAGTGCTGGGATTACAGGCTTGAGCCACTAGCCTTTTTTTTTTTTTTTTTTTTTGAGATGGAGTCTCACTCTGTCGCCCAGGCTGGAGTGCAGTGGCGCGATCTCAGCTCACTGCAACCTCCCAGGTTCAAGGAATTCTTGTGCCTCAGCTTCGCAAGTATCTGGGATTACAGGTGCATACCACCACACCTGGCTAATTTTTGTATTTTTAGTAGAGATGGGGTTTCACCATGTTGAGCAGGCTGGTCTCAAACTCCTGACCTCAAGTGATCTACCCGTCTTGGCCTCCCAAAATGCTGGGATTGTAGGCTTGAGCCACCCCGCCCAGCCTGCTTCTGTGCTTTCCATCCTTTGAAGGCAGGGACTTGCTCTGATGTGGGCTCTTGTGATGGAGACACGTGGGGGCCTTGGCCAACCACATCCTTGCTCAGAGTCTCAGATTTCTCATCTGTAAAACAGGAAGAATAGAATTCAACTCTGAGGTCTGTGGGAATATTAAAGGCGACAATGACAACCATGGTCCTCTGTGCCCCCCTCCCCTGAGGTTCCCATGCCCGGAAGGGACATGCAGGATCTGACTGGAGTCACAGGGGCTGAGGCTGGGGCCACGCCTCAGTTTGTTTCCTGAACCTTCTACAATCCTCCTCCAAGAAAGAATTGCATGTCCTCCCCCATATCTCTCCTCCAAGTTTGCAAGGATGCCCATCTCCCCAGCTCCTATTCCCTCGCCCCAGCCCTCCCTCACCAACGTTTCCAGTGTTCCAGGGGTTTTCTTAGGAAGGAGCTGAGGTGTTAAATCCTTAGAGGTCGGCATGGCTTAGGTGATTATAGCTGAGCTTTACCTGCCCTTCTCAGGGGTTCCTCAAGTCTCTCAAAGCAACACATTTGCTCATGGTGGGGAATGGGTGGGAACGGCTGCCACAGGCATTTCCTCCAAGTTTCCCGTGTTGGTCCTCCTTCCTTTCACCATCTTTAGGTTCCTCCTACCGTACCTCCTACCCTGATCCCCAGTTTGGGCCAGGCCCTTCACGCATAGACACAGCTCCTGAGTCTACCTTATCACGCCCTGCTCCCCAGAACTCAGAGGGACAGCCTAGAGCCTTTGTTACAAGCACAGCCTGGCTCGCCTCTCCAAACCCCCATACTCACTGTGCAATGTTGGGCATATTCATTCATTTATTTGATGCATATTTATTGAATACTTATTGTGTAACAGTTACTGTTTTAGGGCTTGGGGATATATTATTAGTGAAGTAACTAAATAAAATCCATTGCCGTGGTGGAGCTTACATTCTGGTGGGGGAGAGAGACACAAAACACAACAAAGAAATGAAATATGTAGTGGAGATAAGTGCTAAGGAGAAAAGTTCAGCAGAAAAGGTGGTAGGGAACATGTGGTAGGGGATTAATTTTGCAGACACACTTGTTCAAGATCATCCAGAAAGCAGTGAAGTCAGAATTTGCACCTAAATCAAATCTATTTTGTCTTTAAAAGTGACTCCTGACAGCACAGACATGTCCCTAAATGAATGCAGTAAATGCGATGTGAGTTTTATTTCAGTAATAATTCATCTCAGGCTGGGCGTGGTGGCTCACGCCTGTAATCCAAACACTTTGGGTGGTCAAGGCAGGTGGATCACCTGAGGTCAGGGGTTCGAGACCCGCCTGGCCAACATGGCGAAACCCTGTCTCTACTAAAAATACAAAAATTAGCCAGGCATGATGGCGCATGCCTGTAATCCCAGCAACTCAGGAGGCTGAGGCAGGGGAATCGCTTGAACCCAGGAAGCAGAGGTTGCAGTGAGCTGAGATCGTGCCACTGCACTCTAGCCTGGGCGACAGAGTAAAACTCTGTCTCAAAAATAAATATAATAGGCTGGGCGCAGTGGTTCATACCTGTAATCCCAGCACTTTGGGAGGCTCAGGCGGGTGGATTACTTGAGGTCCAGAGTTCGAGACCAGCCTGGCCAACATGGTGAAACCCCGTCTCTACTAAAAATATGAAAAAATTAGCCGGGCGTGGTGGCAGGCGCCGGTAATCCCAGCTACTCGGGAGGGTGAGGGAGGAAAATCACTTGAACCCGGGAGGCAGAGGTTGTGGTGAGCTGAGATCGCGTCACTGCACTCCGGCCTGGGCGACAGAGAGAGACTCCGTCTCAAAAATAAAATAAAATAAAAAAATATATATAATTCATTTCAGTAGTAAAAGACATAAACAAAAAGCTATAAGTATACACTACGTTACAGCTTTTGTTGAGGAATGCAATAAACATACATATCACTTCCCTGTATAATCTCAATGGCCTTTGGGAGAGAATTTAGAAAAGCATCCCAGTCGCTGAATGGTTGAGTTTAGGGGAAAAACTGACCCAGCACAGCCCCCTCATCTCCTGGATGAGGTTACTGCGGTTCCGCAAGGTGAATCGAGGTCAGTCGCCAAGGCAGAACCGGATTCGCCAGATTCCCTAGTCTCAGTGGAGCTTTAACCCTCCCAGGCACAGGACCGCTGGAGAGGTCGCCACGGGCCGGTTTCCCAGCCGGCCGCGAGGGGGCGACAGAGTGCAATGGACCCAGGTGAGTCGGGGACCAGGCGCCGCCAGGTCGTGACGCCACAAGGTGAGGGAGGTCTTTGATGGAGGGAGATACAGGAGAAAAGGCGCCGAGCTTAGGAAGTCTGTTCGTACTGTCCTCCCCGATTCCAGTCTGGCTCCCACTGCTATCTTCCTCCCACTGCTGGACCCTTCTAAAACAAAAGCCTGACTTTGCTACCATCCGTAAAACTGTAACGACACCTCCAACGTTGCTTACAGGGAAAAAAAAAAAAAAGGGCAGCAAAACATGGGACCTGGGTGATCTTGCCCCAGCCTAATTCCAAGATATCTCCTGCAAATAGATATCTATTTGCAGATATCTGGGAGCCGTATTGAAATACTTCCAACTCCCTGGACTCATCCTACTTTTTTTTTTTTTTTTTTTTTTGAGACTGAGTCTCGCTATGCCGCCCAGGCTGGAGTGCAGTGACGCAATCTCGGCTCACTGCAACCTTCACCTCCCGGGTTCAAGCGATTCTTCTGCCTCAGCCTTCTAAGTAGCTGGCACTAAAGGCGCGCCCAGATAATTTTTTTTTTTTTTTTTTTTTAGTAGAGACGGGGTTTCACCGTGTTAGGATGGTTTCGATCTCCTGACCTCGTGATCCGCCCTCCTCGGCCTTCATCCTACTTTTTCTCCCTGAATATCTTTTCGCACCAGCTCTACGTGGAGAAATCCGACTGTCTTTGAGCGAAGTACAGTATCACTTTCTCTTGAAACCTCCCCTGACACGACCCCTCCCCTGACACGACCCCTCCCCTGACAACACCCCCACCCACCCCACCCCAGTTTGGGGGAGGAGCCCCCTCCTTTGTTCCCACTACCCCGTGGGCTTCCCCTATCACACTGTAATAAATATCTGGCCTTGTCTATCTCCTTCTGTGCCCATCACAGAGCAAAGCAAATACAAAGAGTTCATTAAACGTTGGCTGGATGAATGGAGGAGACGGCACAGGGTTCAAGCTCTGCTACTTGTGCGGCCTCAGGCCGACTAATTATCTGGTGGGTTTGTTGTAAGGAGTCAGAACTAAATGGATTAATTACAAATAGTGCTTAGGACAATGCCCAGAATACTGTAAGCACTCAAGAAACTGATTTATTTTCGTCATTTTCACAGCGGCCAAGGTACATGAGGATGTAGCTTATCGCCCTTTTAAGGGACTCTCCCACGTTCGACTCTAAGCGGAAGTACCCGCTCAGGGCTCCGGAAGTGGCCTCAGAGCCCCTCAGCAACATGCCCGCAGAGAATTCTTCCGGAGGCGGTCACAGACATCTCCGTGACGCAGAACGAGTTAGAGCGTCCCTTGGGGTTTCCATGGTGCTGCCCTTAGCCTGCAGTATCTCCACTTCCTCTCCCGCCTGAGCGCCGGGAACGGAAAAGCAGGCGGCCGGTCCCAGCTGCGACGTAGACGCCGCGTGGGGGTGGGGTTGGGCGAGTAGGTGACGCTCTAGGCGAGCTCGTTGGCCTCTCTATGGTGCCGAGCGCGCCCGTTCGGACGTTGCCCCTTTAATCGGCAGAGGGCGGTGCCCAGGAGGTCCCGCGAGAGCTGCGGGGGGCGGGGGGGCGGTGCCGAGGCTGGGGGCCGGTGGCGGATGGAGCCCGCGATGGAGCCGGAGACTCTGGAGGCGCGAATCAGTGAGTGTCCGGGAGGGGCGCGGGCCGGACCGGAACCGGAACCGGGGGCACGAGGCGGGCCCCTTCCCGGCGGGGGCGGGGTACGGGTCGCCCCCTCCTCACGCCCCGCCCCCGGCCCGGGAGGGGCGGTGTCCTCAGTCGGCCCCTCAGACCCTGGAGCGATGGAGGACCCCGGCCCCGGCGCGGTCCAGCGGTGGGAGCGGGCGCCGCCCACCTGTCGGATCCCTGGGCCATGACCCCTGGGACGGCGAGTGAGCTGCGCCGGGAACCCCCGGGACGGAGAGAGCAGCCTCCAACCCCCAAGGCTCACATTGCTTCACGGAGTAGCGGCCCGGGGAAGGAGCACGCGAGCGGTTCCCCGGGGTTGCATCTCACACCCGGGAGGGAGGGACCCTACTATTTTCAGGCCCCGAATCCTCCACTCTCTGGCCCTGCATGGCGTTCCTGGAGCCCGCAAGTAGTCACATTTGCTCATTACCCCGTCCTGGAAGGGAGGACCCACTGCCCCATTTGATTCCTCCCGCCGCTCCTAGTCTCTAGCCACATAGTGAGAAACCCCCGCACCCTACAGGCTTGGGAGAGTCTTAGACTCCAGAAGTATTAATAATTCCAAGCTCCCTGTCACTCCCTTCAGCCTAACCCCTCAGTCTCCAAGATGCCTTTCCCAGCTCTTGCTGAACTTCCTTCAAAGGCTTCTACACCCCTTTTTTTCTTGTTTCTCCTCAGACGTAGCTTCCTATTGCTTAGGCTTCCTAGCCCGCAAACCCTCCACCTGAGCTCCTTAACCCACAGCCCTGATGATCCCCTGCTCTCACAGCCCCGCTCCTGGACTCTGCCTCTGAAAGCCGTGGCTGGCTTCTCCCTGGTCTAGTGAGGGTTCTCTCCCAAGGCTTTAACTGCTGTTGGGACCCCGTCGTTGCCAGGGCCTCAGGGAACCCTCTTGGACCCGGGCACACCGGCAACTGTCTAGCGTGGTTTGGGGTCATGGCCGGCCCCTTTTAAGCCAGGCTTGAGCAGAGTTGAACCATGAGGTTGGCCCCAGAACCAAACCTCTAGGGATGTTTCAGAGTCATCCTAGCCACCAGAGGGGCAGGGGGTGGAAAAGGGGCACTCAGCAGCCCTTGACCGTTGTGAACGCCGGAAGTGTCCGCCTGGGTCTCAGCAGCAACTGGGCTGGGGGGATGGGTGGGCCCCTGGCTAACTGATCTCAGACACAGGTCTTGAGCTGTGGGTCATACAAAACATTCTCAGGTTTAGAAACAGTGGGGGTTTTCTGAGAGTCCAGAGAGTCTAAAACCAGGCAGAAGTTAGAGATACCTGGGTTTGGCTGGGCCCTGACACACTGGGGCTGGGATTTTCTCCTTTCCTTCCCCCTTTGTGTCCTAGCAGAATTGTAAGATCTTTCCTCTTCCCTTGTGGAGGCTGGAGGTAAAGGATAGCTTCTTCTTTTTTTTTTTGAGACGGGTTTTCACTCTTGTCACCCAGGCTGGAGTGCAGTGGCACAATCTCAGCTCTCTGCAACCTCCACCTCCCGGGTTCAAGTGATTCTCCTGTCTCAGCCTCCCGAGTAGCTGGAATTACAGGTGCGCCACCACGCCCAGCTATTTTTGTATTTTTAGTACAGGTGGGCTTTCACCATGTTGGCCAGGCTGATCTCGAACTCCTGACCTCAGGTGATCCGCCTATATAGGCCTCTCAAAGTGTTGGGATTACAGGCGTTAGCCACTCATCCGCCCACGTCGGCCTCTCAAAGTGTTGGGATTACAGGCGTGAGCCACCGCGCCCGGCCTAGTGAGGTAAATGATGTTATTGTCAGCACTATAGAGTGGCAGGGTGGAGTCTTACCCTGTTGTGAAACACCTCCCTCCCTCTCTAGGTGTTCTCCCCAACTGCCTGCTAGGGAGGGTACTCCCCTCAGGTAGAATTAAGAGGGCTGAGGGTCAGGGGCCATGGGCCAAGGAGGTCAGTCAGATCTCCTTGGATCTGGAGGCCCTGGCTTTCAGCCAGAGGCAGGGGGAGAAAGATGATGTCTCATGATGCCAGCGCTTCCTCTTCACTGGCGTCTGACCCAGGAGCAGTCCAGAATCAGCTTCTCTGACCTCACTCCAACTCACGTGTCTTTGACACTTTAAGGGACTTCCTGTTTTAGGGTCTTCTGGCTGGGTGTCATTGAATGGGCAGTGATTCTCTAACTTTAGACTGATGTTCCCCAGCCTTTGTTTGGGGACTCGGAGGCAGAGTAGACAGTTACCCTTACCCCTGGGTTGGGGAGGGTCATATTCCTGGTATCCCCAGGAGGTCAACAGGGGCTTCATTTTTCTGAGGGACTAGAGGGTCTTGTGGAGCTCCTGGGACAGAGATCTAGATCCAGAGAGAACATTCGTCCTTCCGATCTCAGCTCAGCTCTGAGAGCCCTCCCAGAGAGCAGCTCCCGAGGGCTCCAGAGCCCTCCGAAAGCCCTCCCAGAGAGCAGCCCCCACCTCCCAGGCTGTCTGCACTTCTCCTTGCTATGCTTTGCTCTGTAACATTTTGCAACAGTCTGCAGTACACGGGGTTTGTTAATCTGAGTATTCATTGTTTCTCTTGCTGGGCAGTGAACTTGAGGAGGGCAGGGATTTTGTCTGTTCACTGCTGGAGCCCCAGCACCCAGAATACTTAAATCTGAGTTGGATGAATGGCGGCCAGCCACTGGGATTCCAGGGCTTTGGGCCCCCTGCCATAACATATGGCCCAGGGCAGGCGCCACATGCTGGGTCAGTCCCCAGCCTCCTGTCCACAGATCCTTCTCTGTTCTACCTCCTGGGCTGTGTCCTTCCACACCCTCAGCTCGGTGCTCAGGCGTGGGCAGAACTGGCTGGGAAGGGGTGGTCCTTAGAGGTGGGCTGTGGAGAAATGAAGATCGAGCTCTGGCTGCCGCCATGGCCTTCCCATGCAAAAAGTATTTTGTCATCCAAAATCAATATTTTGGTCAGGCACAGTGGCTCATGCCTGTAATCCCAGCACTTTGGGTGGCCGAGGTGGGTGGATCATTTGAGGTCAGGAGTTTGAGACCAGCCTGACCAACATGGTGAAATTCCATCTCTACCAAAAATACAAAAAAATTAGCTGGGCATGGTGGTGGACGCCTGTGATCCCAGCTACTCTCAGGAGGCTGAAGCAGGAGAATCGTTTGAACCCAGGAAGCTGAGATTGCAGTGAGCCGAGATCTCGCCACTGCACTCCAGCCTGGGCAACAAAGCAAGACTCTTTCTCAAAAAAAAATAAAAATAAAAAAATACAGGCCGGACGCAGTGGCTCACACCTGTAATTCCAGTACTTTGGGAGGCCGAGGCAGGTGGATCACGAGGTTAGGAGATCAAGACCATCCTGGCTAACACAGTGAAACCCCGTCTCTACTAAAAATACAAAAAAAAAAAAAATTAGCCGGGCGTGGTGGCGGGCACCTGTAGTCCCAGCTACTCGGGAGGCTGAGGCAGGAGAATGGCGTGAACCTGGGAGGCAGAGTTTGCAGTCAGCCGAGATCACACCACTGCACTCCAGCCTGGGCGATAGAGCGAGACTCCGTCTCAAAAAAAAAAAAAAATACAGCCGGGCACGGTGGCTCACACCTGTAATCCCAGCACTTTGGGAGGCCAAGGTGGGCGGATCACAAGGTCAGGAGATTGAGACCATCCTGGCTAACATGGTGAAACCCTGTCTCTACTAAAAATACAAAAAAAAATTAGCCGGGCGTGGTGGCGGGTGCCTGTAGTCCCAGCTACTCGGGAGGCTGAGGAAGGAGAATGGCATGAACCTGGGAGGCGGAGCTTGCAGTGAGCCGAGATCGTGCCACTGCACTCCAGCCTGGGCAACAGCGTGAGACTCGTCTCAAAAAAAAAAAAAAATCCATATTTCATTCCAGCTTTACAAGATGGGGAAATGGAGGTTCAGGGAAGCATGTAAGCTAGATTGTTGTTTAACCAGTATTGGGGGTTAAAGGGGTAGCTGTCTGGTCGTGTTTACACCACTTCATGTAGACCTGTTGGCCCTCTTTCCTTGCCACTATCCATTTCTGGATTCAGTCTTCCCCAGAACCTCACCCTTTGCCTGCCCTCAGCTGACTGCTCATTCATTTGCCAAGGGGAGACAGGTGTGGACATGAGTGGCTGGGATGCAGTGCCGTAGCAGGCTGGGGGACACAAAAGAGAACTGACCCAGCACTGCTACCCTGGGCAGGAGTAGAGGATTAGAGAAGGGGACACCGGAGCCACTCCCAAGGGAATGAAGGCTTTCTGAACCTGGTGTGATGGTAAGACTCACACTCCTTACTGAGGCCCCTCATTCTCTGCCTCGTGTGGTTACCCGCATCTTTCCTGCCCATACAGCCATGCGTGGGTCAGAGGTGTACCAGCTCCAGCCTGGGTGACTCCTCCTGGTCCCTGCTTGTGTGTTGCCTCTTCCAGGCAGCCTCCTCAGCCCCAAACTGAACTGAGTCCCCTCCTCTGTGTTTCTTTTTTGTTTGTTTGAGACGGAGTCACCCAGAGTCCCAGCTCTGTCACCCAGGCTGGAGGGCAGTGGCGAGACCTCGGCTCACTCCAAGCTCCGCCTCCCGGGTTCACGCCATTCTCCTGCCTCAGCCTCCCAAGTAGCTGGGACTACAGGCACCCACCACCAAGCCCGGCTAATTTTTGTATTTTTAGTAGAGATGGGGTTTCATCGTGTTAGCTAGGATGGTCTTGATCTCCTGACCTCGTGATCCACCCACCTCAGCCTCCCAAAGTGCTGGGATTACAGGCATGAGCCACCGTGCCTGGCCCCTCCTCTGTGTTTCTACAGCTCCTTGGCTTCCCTCTGTCACACGTTATTGAGAACCTAGCTTCCCTTGGCCCACTTCCCGGCTACACAGCTCCTTGAGGGCGGGACTATGATTTTTTTCTCCCTTACTTCTGGATCTCCTCTGAGCATAAATTTCATGAGAATTATGGAGACACTGTTCTCAGCAGAATCAGAGGAGGTGGGGCTGGCGTGATGGGTCCAGCTGCAGGGGTGGGAGGAGTGGGGAGGAGGGGAAGGGCCCTGACCATAGTCTCTAAAAGTGGGGCCCTTTGGAGGGCAGCTGTGCTCATCTGTCTGTCTACACCCACAATCAGGTCTTGAGGCTGTCTGGGCAGGAAGGCAGGGGGAGAGCTTTCCCACGTGCTCAGTCACACTCCTCTCCCACTCCTGACCACACCTTTGCCAGGGTCAGGAGTGGAAGAGCAGGAATCCCACTGCCGGGCCACAATGACCCCAGCTCTCCTCTTCCAGATAGAGCCACGAACCCCCTGAACAAGGAGCTCGACTGGGCCAGCATCAACGGCTTCTGCGAGCAGCTCAACGAGGACTTTGAGGGGTAGGTGGCCGTCCCCACTTGTTTGCACTGCCCTGCACTCTCCAGAACCCAGTCTCGGGTACAATGGCCTGGGTGGGTGGAGACCCGGTTTTCATTCTGAACGTATTCACAAAGTGATGAGGATGGGGCACTTGGCACTGAATGCTGTTTGGGTGTCACTCTCTGGGGTGGGCCTTGCTGGAACCATTTAACAGGTAAAGAAATCAAGGCTCAGAGGACTCAGATCTGCCCCCACATCTCACAGGGAGAAAATGCTAGTCCTGAGCTTGGTAAGACCCAGGCCTGCTGGACCTGCAGCCAGTGCTTTGTGGGGAAAGGCCCCCCAGAGGGAGAACTGCATGTTCCCCAATTGGGAGGAGGCCAGTAGGCCCTTTGCTCAAGGACGAACCAGAACTACCTGTGTTAGAATCACCTAGAATGTTGGCCAGGCACAGTGGCTCATGCCTGTAATCCCAGCACTTTGGAAGGCCGAAGTGGGTGGATTACCTGAGGTCAGGAGTTTGAGACCAGCGTGGCCAACATGGTGACACCCCGTCTCTACTAAAAATGCAAAAATTAGCTGGGCGTGGTGGCACGTGCCTGTAATCCCAGCTACTCAGGAGGCTGAGGCAGGAGAATTGCTTGAACCCAAGAGACAGAGATTGTAATGAGCCGAGATTGCGCCACTGCCCTGCAGCCTGGGCAGCAGAGTGAGACTCTGTCTCGAAAAACAAAACAAAGAATTACCTAGAATGCTTGTCAGAAATGTACATTCTTAGCCAGGCATGGTGGTGCACACCTGTAATCTCAGTTACTGGGGAGGCCAAGGCGGGAGGATCCCTTGAGGCTAGCCTGGGCAACATAGCGGGGCAACATAGCGAGACATCATCTCTTAAAAAATAAAAAAATAGGCCAGGCATGGTGGCTCACGCCTGTAATCCCAGCACTTTGGGAGGCCAAGGCAGGTGGATCACCTGAGGTTGGGAGTTCAAGACCAGCCTTACCAACATAGAGAAATCCCATCTCTACTAAAAATACAAAAAAAATTAGCCGGGCATGGTGGTGCATGCCTGTAATCCCAGCTACTCGGGAGGCTGAGGCAGGAGAATTGCTTGAACCCAGGAGGTAGAAGTTGCAGTGAGCCAAGATCGTGCCATTGCACTCCAGCCTGGGCGACGGAGTGAAACTCCGTCTCAAAAAATAAGTAAATAAATAAATAATAAAAAATAAGGCCGGGTGTGGTGGCTTACGTCTATAATCCCAGCACTCTGGGAGGCTGAGGCAGGTGGATCACGAGGCCAACAGATTGAGACCATCCTGGCCAACATGGTGAAACCCCATCTCTACTAAAAATGCAAAAATTAGCAAGGAGCGGTGGTGTGCGCCTGTAGTCCCAGCTACTCGGGAGGCTGAGGCAGGAGAATCGCTTGAACCCGGGAGGCTGAGGTTGCAGTGAGCCAAGATTGCATTACTGCACTCCAGCATGGTGACGGTGAGACTCCATCTCAAAAAAATAAATAAAGTAAATGCACCTTCTTGGGCTGCCCCCAGACTCGACTGTCCAGTGGGGGGTTGGGAGTGGACATTCTTTTTATTTTTTTTTTTGAGATGGAGTCTCGCTCTGTCGCCCAGGCTGGAGTGCATTGGCACGATCTCGGCTCACTGCAAGCTCCGCCTCCCAGGTTCACGCGGTTCTCCTGCCTCAGCCTCCCCAGCAGCTGGGACTACAGGCGCCTGCCACCACACCCGGCTAATTTTTTTGTATTTTTTAGTAGAGACAGGGTTTCACCGTGTTAGCCAGGATGGTCTCGATCTCCTGACCTCATGATCCACCTGCCTCGGCCTCCCAAAGTGCTGGGATTACAGGCATGAGCCACCGTGCCCAGCTGGGAGTGGACATTCTTAGTGGGCTCCCCAGGCGATACTAAAGTTTCGGGACCACAAACAGCGGTGTGTGTGCTTTGGAGTCGTGCTGCTTGGGTACGAGTCCTGTCCCCTCTCTTAGCTGAGTAACCTTGGGTGAGTGGTTGCCTCTGAGTGTCAGTTTCTTCACAGTTGAAGGAACTTCCCACGGTGAGGCGGGAATGACCGTGCTGCCTGCCTTATGCAGCTTAGGCAGGAAAGTGCATGTGAGCCTCCTCACACATGACCAGTTCAGCACATGTGAGCTCTTACCGTCACTGGTGACGGGTCTTTTACAGTCTGTTAGATGATGTCACCACCTCCACCATGAAGCTGCTCTGATTTGCCACAGCAGAACGTCCTTTGCCACCTTGAGTTCCCAGGGAACTGTGTCTGCCCGTCTCTCATGGCATATTGTAATTGTCTCTATGGCAAGCCAAGCCAAGGACGTGACACATCAGAGTTCTTAGGCCAGCCCAGGAGCTGAGCTCATACCTTTTGAAGGTCCCTGCCTGCAGTCTCTGTCTGGCCCTGCCCTGCCACAATCTCAGGCCATAACTGATCTGGAGAGGGAGCTGGGCCTTTGCATATGCCTGCAGAAACCTTAGAGGGCTGAAGTCTCGGCGGCGGGCTGGGGTGGTGACCCTCCCCTAGGGCGACCAGGGCCCCTTGGAGGAGGGCTGCAGTCCCAGCGGCCTGGGGTCGTGGCCCTAGGGTGACCGGGACTCCGTGGCGACTCTGGCTCTGTGTTGTTCCTCCCACCCAGGCCTCCACTCGCCACCCGGCTGCTGGCCCACAAGATCCAGTCCCCACAGGAGTGGGAGGCGATCCAGGCCTTGACGGTGAGAAGGGGAGAGGCCACCATCCGTCCCCCGCCATGTGACGACACCAAGGGAGGCCAAGACTGAGGTTCTTGGGGTCCATAAGGCTCTTCAGAGCCCAAGAGAGTTGTGCTAAGATGGCCCAGGATGGAGGTCCGGGCCTGCCCCAAGGGTCCCACCACAGCCAGCGGGCTGGCCTCCCACCCCAGCATCCATACACGTAGGCCTGTTGCTGAGGGAAGGCCCTCTAGGGTCATCTGGTCCAGGGGTTCTTTGCTTCAGCTGCACATCGGCTGCCTCTCCAGGAAGCGTGTTCAACACATGGAATCAGGGCTCCACCCAGACCTGCCGAGGCCACACTCCTGGAGTATCTGCATCCAGAGATCTGCACGTTTGTAAAGCTAAGGGGTGGTGCTTGGGCTCAGGCCTGAGGTTTTGCATCTGTTCAATAGCAGAGGAGAGAGGGGTGTACTGTCTGTGGCCCCCAGCATGGGCCACATACCAACCCACCATGGAGCAAAGCTGATTTTAAGTGGTGGTAGAGATACAGTTTCTCTTTTAATACTTACGTGTTTAGTTGGGTGCAGTGGCTTATACCTGTAATTTCAGCACTTGGGGAGGCCAAGGCAGGAGGCTTGCTTGAGGCAAGGAGTTCAAGGCTACAGTGAGCTATGATTGTGCCACTGTACTCCAGACTGGACAACAGAGTGAGACCCCATCTCTAAATAATAATCATTATTGTTACATATTTGTTTTAACATTTTTTTCTCAAGTATAACTAGTCCTATGATTTCATAGATGTAGCTTAGGATAAGGCCAAGGTAGGTGTTGCCTATATAAGGTTTTTTTAAAAAAGGAAAAATAGGCCGGGCTGGTGGCTCACGCCTGTAATCCCAGCACTTTGGCAGGCTGAGGCGGGCAGATCACCTGAGATCAGGAGTTCAAGATCAGCCTGACCAACATGGAGAAGCCCCATGTCTACTAAAAATAAAAAATTAGCGAGGCGTGGTGGGCGGGCGCCTGTAATCCCAGCTACTTGGGAGGCTGAGGCAGAAGAATCATTTGAACCCAGGAGGCAGAGGTTACAGTGAGCCGAGATCGTGCTACTGCATTCCAACCTGGGCAACAAGAGTGAAACTCTGTCTCAAAAAAAAAAAAAAAAAGGAAAAATAGTAAGAAAATAATGTACAGTTGGTACTCAGATGTGGGGCCTAAGCTATGAATGGGACTAGAGCATTGCTACAGGTTGGGCATTGCTGGGCACTGTATGTAGGTCGCCTGACCCTATCTCCCATGGGAGTGATGACCAGTCCCAGAGGCCTGTGTGACTCTGAATCTTCCAACCTCACAGGCCATTCCCTCCCTTCTGAAAGCCCACCCATGGGCTTCTGGCCCCTGTCCAAGGCGTGGGAGGGAGGCCACGGCCTCTGATGCACCTGGGCGTCCCCTCCCATCCCCCCTCCCTGCACAGGTGCTGGAAACATGCATGAAGAGCTGCGGCAAGCGGTTCCACGACGAAGTGGGCAAGTTCCGCTTTCTCAACGAGCTCATCAAGGTCGTGTCTCCCAAGGTTGGTGCCCCCAGCCCAAGCTCAGACCTGCCCTGTCGGATGTGGGGAGAGGAAAGAGGACCTTCAGATTGTGGAGCGACTTTTCCAGGGAGCCTCCCACTGGGGTGTCACCTCAGCCCCCCATTAGAACTCAGACCTAGGAAAAACACAGATCTCTTCTCACAGTCCTCTCATACCTGATTCTGGGACAGCCTGGGGTCTCGGAGGAGTGTTTCCAGGCTGGCCAGGGGCGGGGCAGCCATGGAGCTGCCCGGTGCTTAGGAAGAAATGATTCCAGGGAATACATAAGCTGACAGATGGCTGTATGTGTCAGCCATCTCTGGCCTGAAATCACTCCCTGTGGACCTGGCCACAGAACCCTACCTGGTCTCTGGCAGGTTTCCCTGTCCCCACCACACAAGAGCAACCTCCCTGGACCTCAGCATCCAAGGCCACAGACCTGAGTGATGGAGCCTGCTGGCTCCAGACGGGCCATCCCCGGCTCAGCCCAAGGAGTCTTCCCACAGACCATGAACGTTTCTTTTTCTTTATTTTTTTGAGATGGAGTCTTGCTCTGTCACCCAGGCTGGAGTGCAATGGCATGATCTCTACGCTCCACAACCTCCACCTCCTGGGTTCAAGCAATTCTCCTGCCTCAACCTCCCAAGTAGCTGGGATTGCAGGTGCACGCCACCATGCCCGGCTAATTTTTTGTATTTTTAGTAGAGATGGGGTTTCACCATGTTGGCCAGGCTGGTCTTGAACTCCTGACCTCATGATCTGCCTGTCGTGGACTCCCAAAGTGCCGGGATTACAGGCGTGAGCCACCATGCCCGGCCTACCTACCGTGAACATTTTTTTTTTTTTTTTGACAAGGAGTTTCACTCTTGTCACCCAAGCTGGAGTGCAATGGCGCGATCTCAGCTCACTGCACCCTCCACCTCCCAGGTTTGAGCAATTCTCCTGCCTCATCCTCCAGAGTAGCTGCAATTATAGGTGCCCACCACCAAGCCTGGCTAATTTTTTATTTTTAGTAGAGACAGGGTTTCACCATATTGGTCAGGCTGGTCTTGAACTCCTGACCTCATGATCCACCTGCATTGGCCTCCCAAAGTGCTGGGATTACAGGCGTGAGCCATGGCCTCCGGCCTACTGTGAACATTTCTTAAGCTGTTTGAGTGACAGCCCACCCCCTTGGCCCTTCCTTGCTCAGACCCATCCTTTGACCAGAGCTACTGAATAATCCATATGGCCTCCCATTCTCCTCCCAACAGGGGACTCTGCTGTGAGAGCCACTTTCCCCAGCCCAGTTTGCTGCTAGGAGACGGAGAGTAGGCCCAGGGCCTCCCAGTTCCACCCTCACCCCTCCCTGGGCAGCCTGGAGACCTCTGGCTCCTCTTTCCTGGGATGTCAAGGCTAAGTCCCCAGAGCCGACTATGAGCAGGCCTGTCCCTCATGTCAGTTCTGCATCCTCACCATGGTGCCATCTAGCAGGTGGGGAAACAGACACTGAGGGCTGACCCAGCTAATAAGTGGCAGGGGTAGTAGGTGAACTCAGTCTACCCCAGGCTGGTTGGGCGGGGCTATGAGGACCCTGTAGGCTAGAGGGCTTCCCGGGGAGTCCTGGGGAGGCAGTAGGGTGTGGACAGGGCTTGAGACTGAAGTGAGTGGGGCTGGGCAGTATCAAAGGCCTCCCCACTGTGTCCCTGAAGTATCTGGGCTCTCGGACATCGGAGAAGGTGAAGAACAAGATCTTGGAGCTCCTCTACAGCTGGACAGTGGGCCTGCCCGAGGAGGTGAAAATCGCAGAGGCCTACCAGATGCTAAAGAAGCAGGGTGAGGCACACAGAGGGTGGGGGGCGACCAGGGCCTGCCTTCCCCTCCCCCACCATGAGCTGGGGCTCCAGCGGCTTCAGGGGCTTCTGAGCCAGCAAGGTCATGGGTCTGTCCTTTAACTTCTGGAGAAAGTACATACAGCTAGTGCGGCCTTCTGTGCTCTGCCTGAGGCTAGCTTGGGTGGAAAGAAGGTGAGTTCGAATCAAGCTTCCCCTCAAAGAGTGGTCTCCAGGGAGTGGCCTCAAAATATGGGTCCCCAAACCATCTCCCCCAGGCAATTTTGATGGAGTAGGTAGGAGTAGGCCCAGGCCACTAAGAGTCCAGAGCCAGCGTGCTGGCAAAAGACTGACCTCCCTCTTCTGTCCTACCCTTGCCTGCCCCCATCCCCATGTCACCCCTACCCCTGGGCCTGGGACATATTGACAGCCTTTCTGACACTCATCTAATCCAGGGATTGTAAAGTCCGACCCCAAGCTTCCAGATGACACTACCTTTCCCCTTCCTCCTCCACGGCCGAAGAATGTGATCTTTGAAGATGAGGAGAAATCCAAGGTGAGACTCCAAGGAGGCACATATGGGGACTCTGAGCCCAGGTGGGGGTCCGTGGGTTCTGACCTCTAGCTGCCCTGGCATCAGCCGTTGGAACAGAGGCACACACTGAGCCCAGGCATCGTTGTAGATGATGGGCGCTGTTTACTGGGCATTTAATATGTGCTGAGTATGTCCCATACAGCATCCCCACATTTAATAAACAGGAGTGTGTCTGGTGTCCCTGGAGTTTGTTTGAGGGTATTTTGACCTTTTCTATAAGAATTTCACTAATTTTTTGTTAAAAGTTAATAAAATTAAAACTTGTGGGTGAAAAGTTAAACAGCCCAGGAGGAGGTAAGATTAAAATAAAGAGGTTAAAGTAAAAGGTCCCCTCTCCCCAGTCTTAGCCCCAGCCCTGGAGAGTGTCTACTGTTAAGGTTCTTGTACATTGTCCCAGAAAGGTTCTCAGCCATGGGGATATAAGGAGCACCATTTGTTGATTACTTATTTCTGCTAGGCGCTGTGGTGTGCACTTTACATGCAGTGTCTCCGCTGGCCTGTGGCCACCCTATCAGGCATCAGTAAATTCTCACCATTTCACAGAGAGCTTAAGTAACTTACTCAGGTCCCACAGGCAGGAAGCGGGGAGCCATCATGTGACTCCAGTCTTCTGACCCCTGGCCCAGGTGCTGCCCTCACGGTCACACCCCTCTGTCTCTGCAGATGCTGGCCCGCCTGCTGAAGAGCTCCCATCCCGAAGACCTCCGCGCAGCCAATAAGCTCATCAAAGAGATGGTGCAGGAGGTAGCGGCCGAGCCCAGAGCACAGGGAGGAGGCGGGATGGGGGTATTGAGCTGGGCCACTGAGATGGGGCTGTATGCATCTTCACATGGAAGGAGCCCTGCAGTGACCCGGGCTGGCACAGCAGAGAAGCTGATGCTGGGGGACCAGGGTGTGCAGGGAAGAATTCCCGGCAGCCTGGGTGACTTGCTCTGGATGGGCCTTTGGGAGGCTGGCTACCTCTTCGTCAAAAGTTAGAAATGAATTAGGCCTTAGTATATTTTTAAAAATACTAAGTATTTTTAAAATTACTTTTTAGTATTTAAAAATACTAAGTATTTTTAAAATTATTTTTTAGTATTTAAAAATACTAATGAATATATGTAAGTATGTATACGTGTATGTATATGAGGAGACTTTTTTTGAGACAAGGACTCACTCTCTAGCCCAAGCAGGAGTACAGTGGCATGATCATGGCTCATTGCAGCCTCAACCTCCCGGGCTCAAGCAGTCCTCCCACCTCAACCTCCCAGGCCGCTGGCACTAAATACGTGTGCCACCACACCGGTATAGTTTTTGTATTTTTTTTGTGGAGAAGGGGTTTCGCCACATTGCCCAGGCTGGTCTGGAACTCCTGGGCTCAAGCAATCTGCCTGCCTCGGCGTCCCAAAGTGCTGGGATTACAGGCATGAGCCACTGCCTGGCCAAATGTTTAATTTTTAAGTAAATATACATATGTTGCCTGGGTGCCTGCTGAAACTTTTTTTTTTTAATTGAGACAAGATCTCATCCTGGAGTGCAGTGGCACGATCATGGCTCACTGCAGCCTCGACCTCCTGGGCTCAAGCGATCCTCCCACCTCAACCTCCCAAGTAGCTGGGACCAAAGGCACACGCTACAGCGCCCGGCTAATTTTATTTTTTGTAGAGACAGCATCTCCCTTTGTTGCCCAAACTAGTCTGTAACTCCTGGGCTCAATGACCCTCCCATCTCGGCCTCCCAAAGTGCTGAAAAAAAAGTTTCAAAGCTGGATGTGGTGGCTCATGCCTGTAATCCCAGCACTTTGGAGGCCAAGGTGGGAGGACTGTGTGAGGCCACTTTTCACTCTGCAAAGGAGGGGCACGCACAGTAAGCGGAGGGGCAGGGGAAAGCCGGGCTGCTCCCAAAAGCAGCCTTTGAAGGCACGGGCTCCCCCATCTGCCAGGCACCGACAGACACTGGAAGGGTCTTCCTGCTCGTTTCCAGGCTGTACCTGGTGACCACAGAGGTCCCCTTGCACTATGAAGTACAGGAACCTCCTTTGAAAGGGCAAACACAAGGAGGGCAAGAGTCACTGAGAACCACAGTGGAGGTCTAGGGCCCTGGGCCTTCAGAAGCACCTGGTGAGGGGTTTGGAAACCCAGGTTCCTGGGCCATCTCTGAAGATCCTGATGAGCTTGTGCAGAGGCCTGGGCACTGGGGGCTTCTTGGACCAGCGTGCCCTTCCTAGGCATGAGGGGCTCCTGGCAGGGCCTGCTGGAGCCCCACCCAGAGTGTGATCCCACAGTCACCCAGCTGTCAACCCAGATCCCAGCACACATTCTCTCAAGTGGCAGGGGGCAGTGCCTCGTCCAGGCCAAAGGTTCTCAGGGGCCCTTGGCCAATGTGTCCCCAGGACCAGAAGCGGATGGAGAAGATCTCGAAGAGGGTGAATGCCATCGAGGAGGTGAACAACAATGTGAAACTGCTCACGGAGATGGTGATGAGCCACAGCCAGGGCGGCGCAGCAGCTGGCAGCAGCGAGGACCTCATGAAGGTGCACCTGCCTCCCTGCCTACCCCACTCCCTGCCCACTCCACAGCCCACGCGGACCCTGACCCGCCCATCCTGCTGCCCTCAGGAACTGTACCAGCGCTGTGAGCGGATGCGGCCCACGCTCTTCCGACTGGCGAGTGACACAGAGGACAATGATGAGGCCTTAGGTGAGCCCAGGGCAGGTGCTGAGGTCAGGTCCCCCCCTCTCCCTCCACCTCCTGCCCCCACCTCCCCCAGGCCCTGCTAAGTATCTGCAGTTGGAAGGAGCCACCACCAGGGGGCCCCCTTCTCCAGCACCGACCTTGGGTTTCTCCTCTCTGAGGACACAGAGCAGGGGCCGCCCCCCTGTTGAGAGGCCCTGTGGGCCAGCCCCCTTAACAGGCATCTTATTTACTACCCGCAGCTGCACAGGAGGCAGACCCATCCCCTTTTCACAACTGGGGCTAAGGGAGGAAAATGACTTGCCCAGATCACAGAGCAGAACAGTGGCAGAGCCAGGGGAGACGGAGGGCCATCTGCCCCCAGACCTTCCTCCCTAATGAGGGTGAATGGAAGCTAAGAGTGCATCCCACAGCCCAGGCAGTTCCAGACCTGAGCCTGACGGCTTCTGCCAGGGCCACATACCAGGTTCTTTTCCTTGATCTCTGCCCACGTGTCAGCCTGGGCCACTTGGGCTGCGGTCTGGGTACCATCCACTCCCTCATTAAGCAGGAGCCCCACCCACAAGGCTCACTGCCCAGATTGCCCCACACCCTGGCACCTGGGGAAGGCAGTGTTGCCGAGGGCCTGATTGGTGCCAGGCACTGTTCTAGGCCCTCAGGGATCTGGCACTGATCAAAGTTTGCAAAACGCCGGGTGCAGTGGTTCACACCTGTAATCCCAGCATTTTGGGAGGCCAAGGTGGGAGGATTGCTTTAGTCCAGGAGTTCAAGACCAGCCTGGGTAACATAGAGAGACCCAGTCTCTATTTCAAATATATTTATATTAAAAAAAAAAAAAAAAGGTTGACAAAAACTTCCTCATGGTAGTTTAGTGAGAGGAGACAGACAATAACCAAGTCCATGAGCACCGACAGTTCGTCACGGTGGTGAGTGGCATGGAGGAAGAGAAGCAGGGAAGGGATGAGGTGGTGCAGGAGGGATTTAGGACAGGCCTCCCTGAGGTGAGCCTTGGGTGAAGACCTGAAGGCAGTAAGGGATGAAGCCATGCAGAGATCTGGGGCAGCCAGAGAGCAGAGCTGGAGTGGAGGCCTGGAGGCGGGAGCGGGCCCAGTGTGTTGAGACAGCCCAGGCAGTATGGCAGGGAGTGAATGAGGGAAGGGTGGGAGGTGAGACCAGGGAGGTGGCGGAGGGCCAGAGTCTCAGCAGACGAGATGGGCTGTTTCCCTGCCCCTTTCCCTTCCCCTCACACACAGGCTGTGATGGATGTGGGGTCCTCGTCCCCTGCCGCCCAGAGGCCCCCACAGTCCTTCAGCCTGGCCTCTCCCCTCCTGCCTGTTCCAGCGGAGATCCTGCAGGCCAATGACAACCTCACCCAGGTGATCAACCTGTATAAGCAGCTGGTGCGGGGTGAGGAGGTCAACGGTGATGCCACAGCCGGCTCCATCCCTGGTGAGGAGGTGGCAGGAGAGCTGGGAGGGCACCCATCAGGCTGGAGGGGCACAGAGAGTGCAGGGTGGTGTGCTGGTCTCAGAGCGGCTGGAATGACTGCCAGGGTGACCCTGGCCCCTTAAGATGGGGAAGGCCCCAGGGAGGGAGCTGGGGGTGAAGTCTGTGCCAAGCCTGCAGCTGTGGGGGAAGAAGTCTGGTGGGGGAGCTGAGGGTTTGGTGAGGACAGGCAGAAGAAGGAAGGCATTCTTTCATTTGACAAATCTGGCACCTGTTGTATAGGGCTAGATGACACCCCAGAGGCTTTATGTATCAGAAAATGCGAGGGGGGTTAGAAAAGTAAACATTACAGACTCAGGTCTAATAAGGGTAAGATGGCAGCCTTGGGGGGTCACAAAAGGGGTTAGAATTGGTTCTGTTAGGGAGAAGTGGAGATGGAGGCGCTGCACGGAAGCAGCCAAGTTTCAGCAGGGCCTTAAGGATGGGTAGCAGTTTGCCCAGTAGAGCTAAGAAGGAAATACATTCCGGACAGAAGTACCATCATATGCCAAAGAGAGGTCCTGTTGAGCAGTTTCCAGGCAGGGGCTGGTGTGGCCAAGGAAGGGGAGGCAGGAGACCAGTGGTAAAGCATCGGGGGTTAGGTGTTGCTCCCCCGCAACCCCTGTGGACTCTGAGAGACACGTGTACACCCAGGACTTGCCAGCCTCTTCTTTCCCACCCCAGGGAGCACCTCGGCCCTGCTGGATCTCTCAGGCCTGGATCTCCCGCCTGCGGGCACCACCTACCCAGCTATGCCCACCCGCCCTGGCGAGCAGGCCAGCCCTGAGCAGCCCAGTGCCTCAGTTTCCCTGCTTGACGACGAGCTCATGTCTCTGGGTGAGGAAGGGGCCAGGCCTGGAGGAGGGCGGGCTCAGCAGCAGATGGGGCATGATCCCAGGGCCCACTCACAGCTAGCGGAACCACGTACCCCAGGTGTGGATCCTGTGGGGCACGTGGATGAGCATTAGGCCCACTTCACAACTGAGGAAACTGAGGCTCGGGGAAGTTAGGAGCTTGTGCGAGGCCACACGGCCAGAGGGTGAGGCTGGCAACCTCTAAGCCGGCCTCGGATAAGCTAACCAGCATTCAGGCTCTGGCAGCCTGGGGGGAAACCAGGGGATTTCCCCGCAACAGGTTAGAGCCTGGAATTGAGAACTGTCTGGGCAAAAGTTCAGCAGTTTCTTCATCCACCAAGAGGAGAGGGAGGGCTCTGGGCTCCAGAGCACCCAGAGGCTCCAGAGAAGCCGAGGCCAGAGCGCGAGGGACTCGGTGATCCAAGCTGGTCCAGGGCCAGGCCTGCTGTTACTCCCGGGCAGGCTCCGGCTCCAGAGCCCAGCAGGGGCCAGGCTTCCCCGGGGGGAAGCAGCAAAGCGTTCCCAGCTGCCCAAACCATTTTTGGGTTTCCAACTGCTCTCAGGGCAGCAGCCCCATCCGAGAGCTGAGATCAGAACAGCCTCCTCCTGAGAGCCACTGAAGGGATGAAGAGCAGATACGTTAGGGCCACATCAAAGGAATCCTCAGGGATATGTTGGAAGCCAAGATTCAGACTGTGGTTTCCTGAGCCAGTTCTGAAGCAAAAACCAGACCCGAAGGCCTTGAAGAAGTGATGGGGACCCGGGGCGCCCTGGGCGGGGTCTGCCTGGGTTCCAGGAGTGCTTCCTTTGGTGGTGCCCACTACTGCACTCTGTCCTGTCTTAGGTGACCCTCACGGTCTCTGCAGGCAGGTGCCGTTAATAGCCCCACTGCACAATGAGGAAACGGCAGCACAGAAAGGCGCGGTGGCTCACGCCTGGAATCCCAGCACTTTGGGAGGCCAAGGCAGAGGGATTACTTGAGGTCAGGAGTTTGAAACTAGCCTGGCCAACATGGCGAAACCCCATGTCTATTAAAAATACAAAATTAGCTGGGCGTGGTGGCACATGCCTGTAGTCCCAGCTACTGGGGAGGCTGATGCAGGAAAATTGCTTGAACTGGGGAAGCAGAGGTTGCGGTGAGCCGAGATGGCACCACTGCACTCCAGCCTGGTTGACAGAGCAAGGCTCCGTCTCACAAAAAAAAGAAAAAGAAAAGGAAAAAGAAAGGCTGGGTGACTTGTGCAGAAAGGGCTCTAGGACTTGAGCTGGGCTCTGATCCTGAAGCCACACTCTGAGCAGCTGGGCTGCTCTGACTCGTTGTTCATAAGCAAGGAAAAGGAAATGAGGACCCGGAGTGTGGAGGGAGAGCTGAAGGGGAAGGAGAGCTGAGGGGAAAGGAGGCCCAGTTGTGAGCTCCCTTTGTGAACCCAGCAGCCAGCACCCTCCCTGAAGCTGCTTACGAGCCCCATGCAGCCGCCCCCTCTTCATTCAGAGCCAAGGGTGACCGCAGGGAGAGGACCTTTACCCCATTCTACAGAGAAGTAAAGGACGGTCAAGGGACAGGAACGTTCATACAAGGTTTATCTTCCCCTGTGGAGCCAGCCCTGGGTGGCAGCTACCTGAGGGGCAGTGGGTGGGGAAGTACTGCAGGGCCACCAGCCCCCAGCCAGCAGCTGCAGCACCACCTCCACAAGAGAAGCGAGATGCAGCCGCACTTCCTGTCCCCGCACTGCACTGGCATAGTTCTGAGCCACCAGCTTCCTTCTGTTTTCCTCTCAGAGGCAAAGCATGGGGGCACAGGAGCCGGAAGTGCCAGGGCAGCCTGCAGCCTGGGCCTGGGGAATGGAGGAGGCCCTGGGGCCACACAGGGGGCTGGTCCTCACTCTTCACGGCAGGGGTGGGAGACAGGTTCCTGTCCCTCAAGGAGGGTGTTCAGGCAGCCTTAACCTCCCCCGTCTCAAGTGATCCTCCCATCTCAGGCTCCTGAGTAGTTGGGACTACAGGTGTGTGCCACCACACCCGGTTAATTAGTTTATTTTTAGTAGACACACGGTTTCACCTGTGTTGGCCAGGCCGGTATTGAACTCCTGGCCTCAAGTGATCCACCCACCCCAGCTTCCTAAAATGCTGGGATGACAGGCATGAGCCACTGCGCCCACCTCTTTTTGGTTTTGAGATGGGGGTCTCACTATATTGCTCAGGCTGGTCTCAAACTTCTGGCTTCAACTAATCCTCCCATCTCAGCCTCCCAAGTAGATGGGACCACAGGCATTGGCTAATTTTTTTTCCTTTTATTCTTTAGGGGTAGAGTCTCTATGCTGCCAGGGCTTATCTCAAACCCCAGCTTCAGCCTCCCAAATAGCTGGGATTACAGACATTAGCCACTGCACCTGGCTGGTGTCTCCATTTTACAGATGAGGCTGTCACCCCCCAATATCACACAGCCAAGTGGCAGAGTTGTGTTCAAATGCTGGCAGTCAGGCCATGCTCTGTCTGAGTCCAGACTCTGCCACTTTCTAGCTGTGTGTTCTCGGGCAGGTTATTTACCAACTTTGAGTCCATTTTCTTATCCCTAAAAGAGGGCTGAGAAGCTCACCCCTACCTTTGAAGGTTGTTTGAGGATTAAGCAAGACCAGCATCTGAAGGGCCTGAAGCATCTAGGGCATCATCAGTGCACTTTATCTCTGGCCTCTAAGAAGTGCATCTAGAAGGGACCCACTGTCACAGCTTCCTGGTACCCTTGCCTTTGCCTGTCAGGTAGCACTTCGGTTTGGACCTCACTTTTTCAGGATTTGTTGGAAACAAGATCCCTTATCTTCTCTAGGTCAGATTTGGGGTGAACTTGGCTGACAGTATTCCAGGGCAGGCAGAGGTCAGGCTGGCTGGTGACCTGCTGCCTCCTTCCCATCGGCAGCTAGTTCTAGGGCCATCCACAGGGATCCCCAGCCCTCCATAGTACCAGTGAGCCTCACTGGCATGTGCCAGGGCCAAGAGGGCCTTCAGCGTCGCCTCCAGTCCAGCCCTGTCCTCGTATTCTTGGGGACACTGTGGCTCAGCCAGCACAGTGCCTAGCCCACAGTCACCCAGCAGGCGTCCCTCGAGTGGGCCAGTGGCAGGCACAGAGCTGCTCTCCCCTTGCCTGGATGCGTGAGGAAAGGAACCTCTTCTCCCTGCAGCCCAGCCCTGCAGGCTCTCTGCTGCCAGATGACGAGTGAAGATGAAAGTCCTGATGTCTATTGTCTGTGTGCACAGAGCTTTGGAGTGGCCTGGCCAGGAAGAGGGGAAGCGTGTGTGGGGTCAGCACAAGGGGTTGCCGGGATCTTGGTTACTGGTTCTGCTCTGCTGCTGGTTCCCTCTGAAAATGTGGGTTTCTCCCCTCCGTGCTGAGCCTCAGAAAGGGGTAGGGAGCCCCATGCCAGCACACATGGCCCCTCGGCTCTCTGGCCTCTGCAGGGTCAGCCCAGCTCCTTCACCTCTCTCCTGCTTTCCCCTCAGGCCTCAGTGACCCCACACCCCCTTCAGGCCCAAGCCTGGATGGTACCGGATGGAACAGCTTCCAGGTAGGAGGGGACCACAAACTAGTCTGGCCTGTCCCAGTCCCAGGGTCAGGGCAGCTGGGACAAGTGGCCTGGAGAAACTAAAAGGATGGATGGGCTCTACTCAAGAGCCCAGGGCCAGGGGGTGGCCCAGGGGCCTGGAGACACCCACCCAGGGTACAGGGCCTCCCCTTACCTCCAGCTGTATCTTCCCCAAGTCTCAGCCTTGGGGCTGCAGCCCAGCCTTTGGGATTGGGATTGAGATGGGCAATCCCTCTTCCTTTCCCTTGAGGGTGACAGAGGTCCCTGGATTGTAGAACCCCCAACCAGACCCAGCCACCCTGCATCATGGACATGGGTGGTCTGGGGTCCCCACCTCTGTGGCTGCTTTCCCAGATGTCATTTGCAAGGAGGACACTGAGCCTCAGGGCAGGATCAGGTGATGCTGACACCTCTCTAGACAGCCCCACCCCACCTGCATCCTTTTCCCCACAGTCGTCGGATGCCACTGAGCCCCCAGCCCCTGCTCTGGCCCAGGCCCCCAGTATGGAAAGCCGACCCCCAGCGCAGACATCCCTGCCAGCAAGCAGCGGTCTGGACGACCTAGACCTCCTGGGGAAGACCCTCCTGCAGCAGTCGCTGCCCCCGGAATCCCAGCAAGTGCGGTGGTGAGGGCCCACCATGGCTGGCATGGGGTGGGGAGCACTCCCTGTTCCCACAAACCAGCAACTTCTCCTGGGCTTGTCCAGGCCCAGCAGGGAGAGGCTCGTTGCTGTCTTGTTTTGTAAGCAGCAGATGCCAAGCAGTGCACCTGCCTCTGGAAACACAACAGTGCCCAAGGCAGACCTGGGCCCACTGGCCTGGCCTCCCCCCAGGTGTTCCCAGCTCCCTTGAGAAAGGTCCAGAGGGCCGGCAGAGGGGAGGACACTGGGCTGGAGTGAATAGGTGGGGTGCAGGGTGGAGGGAGAACACGAGCTGCTCCTTCTAAAGGTAAGACCCAAGGCCAGAGAGATAGCCACACGTGCCAGCCTTTCCTGTGCCCCTGATCTCTCCATCACCAAAGAATCACTTTTTCTTTTTTTGAGAGGGAGTCTCACCCTGTCACCCAGGCTGGAGTACAGTGGCATGATCTCGGCTCACTGCAACCTCCATCTCCCAAACTCAAGCGATTCTCCTACGTCAGGCTCCTGAGTAGCTGGGACCACAGGTGTGCGCTACCACGCCCAGCTAGTTTTTTGTATTTTTTATACAGACCGGGTTTCGCCATGTTGCCCAGGCTGGTCTCAAACTCCTGAGCTCAAGCGATCTGCCCGCCTCAGCCTCCCAAAGTGTTGGAATTACAGGGGTGAGCTACCACGCTGGCCAAGAATCACTTCTTAATGCACTGTCCCCCGATTAAGGGAGAAGCAGCAGCCAACCCCCCGGCTCACACTCCGGGACCTGCAGAATAAGAGCAGCAGCTGCAGCTCCCCCAGCTCCAGCGCCACCAGCCTTCTCCACACCGTGTCCCCAGAGCCCCCCAGGCCTCCGCAGCAGCCCGTACCAACCGAGCTCTCACTGGCCAGCATCACTGTGCCCCTGGAGTCCATCAAACCCAGTGAGTAGGGCTGGGGCAGGTGCAGGCTGGGTTGGGTCAGCTTGCTGCCCTGTCAGGAGCTCTGTCTGGGGAAGCTAGTGGGAAAGCAGGGCTCCCCTGGCTCTGCCACTGGCCAACCAGAGGGGAGCTCTGAACAAGGCCCTCCCCTTCCCAGGAGTCAGTTTCCTTATCTGCCCCAGAGCAATCAGAGGACTGCTGTACAAACTCCAGGCTTATATAAGCAAGAAGACCTCTAGGGAGTAGGCTCTGGGCCCCTTCCATCCCCAGGAAGGCAGGGCCCAGGACACAGAGAGGTTTGGGGTCTCCCCCAGATTACAGAACTGAACCATGATAAAGACCCAGATCCAAGGCTGGGTTTTTCCAGCCCAGGAGCAGTAAGGGGACCATGGCCCAGCCCCGGGCCCCAAGCAGACACATGAGGCCTGGTGGTCCTCAGCATTGCCCTCTATGAGCTCCCTGTGACCAAAGACACTACCCCCACAGTGTCTCCCAGCAGTGGGCAGAGCTGCCCCTCTCACCAGTAGGAGAACCCTGAGCTCAGAGAAGGGGAGTGACTGCCGCAAGGTCACACAGCGTGAGACTCACCCTCACCAAGTCCCTCACCCCAGCACTCCAGGCAGCAGCCACACAGCATCGGGGGAAGCTGGGCTGTGACTCGGCTCTGGGGTGGGTGTCCTGCCTCCACTATCAGACTGGGGGTTCACCTGCCCTCTCTGGGCACCGCTCTGTGCCCCTGCCTGCACTGCCACCCAGGGTCCAGGTAAGGCCCCAAAGGAGGACTTTGCTCTTGTTGCCAGTACAGCAGCCAGCTCCTGAGGCCAGCCGGGTGGGGGCTGGGGGCTGAGCGGATGTGCTGCAGCTCAGCTGTCCCATCGCCCTCCCACCTTCTCCCACAGGCAACATCCTGCCCGTGACTGTGTATGACCAGCACGGCTTCCGCATCCTCTTCCATTTTGCCCGGGACCCACTGCCAGGGCGCTCCGACGTGCTGGTGGTGGTGGTTTCCATGCTGAGCACCGCCCCCCAGCCCATCCGCAACATCGTGTTCCAGTCAGCTGTCCCCAAGGTGACAAGCCAGTCGGACAGGGCATGCCTCCCTCCTCTCAAGGCAGGGTGACATGGAGCTGGGTGGGGAGCCACCTGTCAGGGGGCAGGTCTCCCTCCCTTGCTGGGTGGTTGGTGTAGAAGGGACCAGAAGGACTGAGCCCCAGGATCCCCGGAGGGGAGCTGGCAGGCTGGGCCTGGTTCCTCAGAGCAGGACAAGCAGCCAGGGCTAGCTGTGCCCATCCTGCCATCTGCCCACAGGTTATGAAGGTGAAGCTGCAGCCACCCTCGGGCACGGAGCTGCCAGCTTTTAACCCCATCGTCCACCCCTCAGCAATCACCCAGGTCCTGCTGCTTGCCAACCCCCAGAAGGTAAGGGGCCCCCAGGCAGTGCTGCAGGGTGGGGACGGCCACTTCTCCTCCTCTGACCCCTCTGCCTTTGCCATCTCTTCCCCAGGAGAAGGTTCGCCTCCGCTACAAGCTCACCTTCACCATGGGTGACCAGACCTACAACGAGATGGGGGATGTGGACCAGTTCCCCCCACCTGAAACCTGGGGTAGCCTCTAGAACAGAGGGGCTGGGGAGAGGAAGGGGCAGAGGGACCGGTCACTGTCCAGCCTGGAGGGAGGCATTGGTGGCCAAGGACACCCTTTGTTGCCCATGGCCATTCACCCCCAGGCCTGGTGCTTCTCCCCACACCCCTGTAGGCCTCAAGTGACTCTTCCCCCTCCTGCTCCGGCCCCGCCCCTGCTGAGCCAAACCCAGTAGGAGGCTGGGCCTGGGTTTGTGCCGCTGGGGTCTCCATCACCGGGACCTGGAGAGGGAGGGGCTGTGTAGCCTTGGAAGAACTTGGGTCATGGGGAGGAAGCACAGCTGTTGGGGAAGGGCCAGGACCTCAGGCCCAGCCCCAACCCCAGCTGGGGTGGGGTCTTCCCCACCTGTCTCTTATGCCTTATGGGAAGGCCCAGCCATAACTCGGGGGCCATGCTGGAGCTGGGGACCAGCTTAGGCCTCCTCCATAGGAACCCAGTGACTGGGGGGTGACGCCTACACCCCCAGCTATTTGCACTCTGGTGTGTGGTTTGACTCTGCTTTTCTTCCGGATTGGCCCTGTGGTCACAGCCTCAGGGGGCCAGGCTGGGGGAACCTCACCTGGCCCGTACTCCTGGGGGTTTCCCTTTGCCATTGGGCCCCCTGAGGGACTGTGGGGGCTCAAGGGTAATGCCAGAGGCCCATGGCCCCAGCGAGGGGCTGTGGGGCACCTAGAGTTCTCGGTGTGTCTCCTTCATTCATTGGCCTCTGCTGGGGCCTCCTATGGGTGTCTTACGTCTGTCCATCCATCTGTCCGTGGTCAGAAGTGGGGTCAGTGTGTGAGTGAGAGCAGGAGTATTTATGAAAATAAAACGTCGTTTTTCCTGGACCAGCTGCTCTCGTGGCCCTTTGGAGGTTGAGGGAGATGGGAGGGGTTGAGTCCATGTTCCCTAGGGCTGCCCTGTAGACCTCTCCACTTCCGTCTTTGGAGGTCAGGCCGTGGGCCCCCTCCCCACCACCCCCCGGGCCCTGCACCGGAAAAGGCCCTGCAAAGGGGCCTGTGGCCAGTGCTGAGTCACCAGAGAGGGCGCTGGGCTGTGGCGGACCAGGACCGTCCCAGCTGGAAGTGGGCGACCGCCAGGGCCTGGCAGGAGCCCCAGCTGCTACAGACACCGAGGGGGAGGCCCCTGGCTGCTCACGACTTCCTCCTGCTGTGCTCAGCCCTCCACACAACCTCGATGCTGCAGCACCCCAGAGGGAAGTCCAAGCCCAGCTTCTCCCTCCCCCCAGACATCACTCCCTTGCCCAGCACCAATCGCAGTTTGTTTGGGAGCAGACCCAGGGACCCTGAGCTGGGCCCCTGCCACTCGCAGCGGCAGCTCTCCCCCACACAGTGCTATCAGTTTTCTCCAACCAGGAGGCTGGGGTCCAAGCTTGGGCGTGGCTTCGAGGCCACACAGCTGGGAGCGAGGGGGCGCTGGTCCAGGCAGATGGGCCCTGTTGTGTGGGAGGCCAGCCCTGCGTGTGGCTCTGCAGGAAAGTGTTCCCTGCTCAGATGAGTCCAGGGAGGCTGCGCACGGTTTCTCCTGAGTAGATGAGCCCATACAGACCCTGGGAAGTCCCTCATTTAAGAAGCCATTTTCACTTTGTCTAATCTAGTGTTTCCCAATCTGAACTTGGCCGCTGAACCCTTCTCCTTAGATATAGTTGTGACATGCTGGAGAATTGCCCAGCACACCCGCATCCCAGCGTGTGTGCTCTTTAACACTCATCAGCAAGCAAGGGGCCCCTCTCTGCTGGGCCCACACTGAAAGCGCAGGCTGAGAGCTCCTCCATGTCCGCCTTACTGCTGAGGGGACAAGAGGCATTAGCTGCACCCTGCGGGAGCCTCCTATCAGATCCCTACAGTGGGACTCCCACCCTGGCACAGCCCTCCAGACAGAGGCTGGCCCCTGGAGGCTTCCAGACACCCTGTCCCAGCCACGTGGCCTCGTTCCTGTTCCCCTTCCCTACCCTGCAGGACTCGCCTCCACACTTGTGATGTCTCCTGAAGATAACTCCGGTTGGAAGTTTCTTCTACCTGAAATGAAACCATAACCCCTGCAGCATCCACTTGGGGTGCCAGAGTCCCACCTCCAGCACAGTCTTCATTACTGGCCATGGCAGGGAGGAGTACAGGTTGGCATGGGGAACAGGTGGGACTGTGAGCTGGGAGTCTGGGGGCTGGTTCTGGCTGGGTCACTGGCTTGCTGTGTGATTTTGAGGAAGATGCTTTCCTTTCTGGAAAAGGGGAGAGGGACTCAATGAGCTATAAGGTCCCTCTGAGGAGTCCTTGGACAAAGGAGCCAGGCTGTCAGCTTTGGAGTGACCCAGGATATTCCGGGGACGGGAAGGTGGGGTCCCTTCAGCCTTTGGACCTTGTCCCTTGCCTTGTCCTTAACCCACCCATCCTGTCAGTCATGCCAGTGTTTCCTGAGCAGCCCCTGGGCCAGCCCCTGTCCTAAGAGTTCACAAGCTGGCAAGGACTTGGGAGCCAGTGTGGCACCCTGAGAGCAAAGACATAAGGTACCACAGAAGCCCTGCATCTGTCTGAGAGTCTGGGGTGGGTTCTAACCAGAGGAAAGGACCCTGGGCCTCCACTCCCTGGAGGAGTCCTTCCCCAAATACCGTGTTGCTGCACAGAGGTCCGGGCCACTGCGCTCTGCAGTCTCAGGGGCTGGGATGCAGTGCACTGGGGAGGCGTGTGCTCTGTCTCTTGAAGGGTGACCCCCAGTGCCATGCCAAGACCAGTGGGACTTCCCAGATCTCGAAGCCCCACTTCCATTTCTGTTGATTTGGCCGAGGCACCAGTTAATTTTGGTTTTCAGCAACCGCATCACACTGTTCGTCTGTTTATGGCAGCCAGGAGAAGTGGCAAGGGCCTGGGAGCCTGCTCCTGCCTAGTCGGTTTTTTGTTGTTGTTGTTTTTACGGAGTTTCGCTCTTGTTGCCCAGGCTGGAGTGCAATGGCACGATCTCGGCTCACCGCAACCTCTGCCTCCCGAGTTCAAGCGATTCTCCTGCCTCGGCCTCCCGAGTAGCTGGGATTACAGGCCTGCGCCACCACATCCTGCTAAGTTTGTATTTTTAGTAGAGACGGGGTTTCTCCATGTTGGTCAGGCTAACTCCCACCTAAGGTGATCCACCTGCCTTGGCCTCCCAAAGTGCTGAGATTACAGGCGTGAGCCACCACACCCGGCCCCCAGTCAGTTTTTTGGTTTTTTTGTTTGTTTGTTTGAGGTAAGGTCTCTCACCCAGGCTGGAGGGCAGTGTTGTAAACACAGCTCCCTGCAGCCCTGACCTCCTCGGCGCAGGCAATCCTACCCTCTTAGCCTCCTGAGCAGCTGGGACCACAGGCGCGTGCCACCATGCCCGGCTAATATTTTTATTTTTTGTATAGAGTTTCGCCAGGTTGCCCAGGCTGGTCTGGAACTCCTGAGCTCAAGCGATCCACCTGCCTCAGCCTCCCAAAGTGTTGTGGTGAGCTACTGTGCCTGGTCTGCCTGGTCTCTCGACATACCCCCTCCCCCAGTCTCTCTGGGCCTTGCAACCAGGGCACCAGCCCAGCAAGGCAGGCAAGAGGAGCCCCCGGACCTGATGCCTATAGCCTCCCATCTTAAGCCTCTGAAATGCCCTGTGAAATGGGAAGTGAGGCTCAGAGAAGTCACACATTATGGGCTGAGTCTGGGCCAGCAGTCTTGAGGTGTCTACCAGGATGGCACATTGCCCCATACCTCCCAAGTCCTCCCCCCAGCCTCTGTCGGGCTGTCCTCTGGGGCTGGGCTCAGGGTACACACTCCTCCAGGGCTATCAGGATTAAAATGGAGTTCTCAGCCTTAGGGCCACCCCAGGATTTCCTGGAAAGTCCTTTGGGCTTGGGGAGGGAGGTGAGGGAGTTTTTAGAGCCCCAGAGATCTCACTATGCCCCTAGCTGCTCTGGGTGGAAGTCCACACAGAGGGCAGCACCGAGGGATACTACAAACAGGCAATTTGTCAAAGTGTCTAAAATGGGATGTTTCTGCTCCTGCAGCCCCTGCTTCCGACCCCCGTTACCACCACCACTCAGCTGCTGACCTCCCTGCCCACATCCTGCTCAAGCCTTACTAGCACATGCTACCCAGACTGTCCCAGGCTTTCACAGACAAATCTGCACAGAGGCTGCCAGGCCCTCAAAGCAACCACAGGGGTTAAGGCAGAGCCAAGGGCCAGCATTTCTGGAGCTCCCAGGCAAGGCTGTCTGGGTCTGGCACAGCAGGAGAGCCCACGTGGGCTTAGGAGACTGTCAGATCTGTTTCCTAACTTGGCCTCTACCACTTTTCCAGCTGGGGACCTTAGGCCAGGGGCCTTGGGCTATTCACCTGTAAAATGGGGACAGTGATACCACCCTCACTGGAGGATATGCTATAGCACAACAAAAAGTCCCATTGTCCTAAGGCAGCTAGACACACACAGGGGTCGTTGGGGCAGGAATGGGGGTAAGGGGTCTTTCCATTCCTGACTTGGCAAGCTGAATAATGATGGTAACAAGAAACAACGCAAGGCACTTTATAAGCATCTTGCATCTATTAATTCACCTAACGCTTCTGTGAGGTAGGTACTATTATTTCCAATTTACTGAGGAGGATGCTGAGGTTCAGAGACGTGAAGTGTCCCACTTAAGGTTACCCAGCTAATGACAGCCACAGCCTGGCCAGCTAGCCTCCTCCACACCCTTAAGCTCTCTCTGTTCCTGCTGCCTGAGCCACTGTGACAGGCACACTGCCGGGTCCCAGAGGCTTTAGCAGGAGCCAGCTAAGACCAGCCTGGTAGAGAATGACCCAAGCCAACAGGCCCCTGGATTGGGGAAGGGCCCCACGAGGGGTTGGCTGGGGAGCTCTGAGGTACCCCTTCTGTGTCTGCAGTTTAGAAAGGCCATGATCCCAACACCCACTGATCAAAACTTCTGAGTCCGTAAGTCTCTGATTACAATTCCTTCTAAGGAACAGCCTATAACCCTAACCCAACCTTTGGGGAGTCCATCCTTCTATGATTCAACATCCAGGTGTGACAAGGGAGGGCCTAAAATCTACCCATCACCCAGCTAGGAGGCACAGCAGCCCCACCCGAATCCGACTCAAAGGCCCAGGGTGTCTCTCCTGCCCAGGACCCTTAGGTCTGGCTGGAGGGGAGTCTGGAGACCAGGGCAGGAGCGCGGGGCAAGAGCTCAGTTAGACTGATAATATGGCTCAGGTAGTTTCCACCACAGCTGCGGCTACAACCCACGTGTACTGACCCCTCACCAGGCCGGAGCTGGGGCTCAGGACTGGGCAAATCTAGGAGAGACAGAGGTGTAAGCCAAACCTTGCCTTCAAGGACTTTCAGACCAGCTACAGAACCAGACAAGCCCAGGCCCGGTGTGGTCTGGGCTGGAGGCTTGGCTGGAACAGAGCAGGGGCACCACATAGTCCAGAGACTTCCCGAGGGACAGGAAGGATGGCACCTGAGGTTCCCTTGCCATGCCACCCATAGTCACTGGCCAGCAGCCTTCCTGTTGGGAAAAGGGAGATGGGGGAGGGAACCTTGCCTGACATCTCATCCTGGCCTGAGCTTTGATCTTGGAGCCTCCCAACTTCCCACCAGGATTCCACACTCAGGTGGGCTCCCATCTGGGAGGCTCTGGCCATAGCAGGCAGCTGTTGGGTTCCCTTCTCAGCTCCTCCCACCCCCAATGAGTCCTGCCTCATTAGGGAGGAGAGAAGCAGCCAGTGAGTGTGCCAGGCCCTGGGCTAGGTGCTGGGAGTATGGAGATGTGTGGGGCCAAGGTCCTGCCTCTGAGAGGCGCCCAGTCTGCACCGGCACACAGTCTGCACCGGCACACAGTAGTGGCTCAAATAGTCTCAAACTAAACTGAAACTAACAAAGCAAAGTGCAGAGGGTGTGGCAGGACTCTGGGGCACACCCTCCCCTCTTCCCCACGCCTGCGGCTCCTGATGCCACAGGGGTGCAGGGTAAGGAGAGCCTACTGTTTCCTAAAGGCGCTCACATCTTGTAAAACCAGCAGTTATGGAGCACTTACTGTATGCCTAACTCTGTGTTGAGTGGAGGGCCAAAGAGGAGAACTACTGAGTTTGGGGGCAGTCAGAGCAGCACCTACATCATTGCCCTACAAGAAGGAAGGGGGACTGAGGCTGTTTGCCAGGAGGAATGAGAGGAGACGGGCTTCACAGATGGAGCAAACTGCCAGGAGATGTGGAGAACAGGGTGTCGCGAACCGCTCTGGGAGGGTTCCTGGTGGCTGAGGGGTGGCACGCACCTCCCTTAAAGGGAGCTGGCAGGGGTGTCTTGTCCACTCTGCAGAATGGGCAGGCCCAGGACAGCTGGCCCATCAGACCATTAGAAACAGCGAGTCCGGAGTTCCAGGGGCTTGTCCACGGCCACACAGCAGCCCGTGGCCCCAGGAAGCCAAAGCTCCCAGCCAGTCATCCAGTGGTGGGGGGTTTAGTTCCAGGGGGCCAGAGGTCCTCTGCGGAAGAGAGTGCAAGGCAGTATCCGCGGCAGGCCCAGAGAGGCCAGGACAGGTCAGAAAGGCCTACCCCTCTTTCGCTTGGTACCCTTTCCTCTTTGCGAGGGATGCAAAGGTTATTTATACTTCGGGTCTGCAGGCTGCGGGTGGGGCAGGCACCCCGCCTGGGGCGGGTTGCGGGCGCAGGGGCAGGAATGGGCTTACCTGCTTCCCGCCACCGGGGCTGGGCGGGGCGCTGCGGGGAGGAGGAGCCGGGCACAACCTGTGGACGGCCGCGGCCGGCGGACACACAGCAGCGGGGGCCCGGCCGGGGGTCGCCCGGGGGCCCGGAAGCCGGGGAAGAGCGAGGAAACCAACTTGGAGAGAGGAGTGACCTGGGGGCCGGGGGCGGAGTCGTGAGCGGGGGAGGAGAGAGCCGGCCGCCAGCAAGAGCCGCGCGGCGGCCCAGGAAGCGAGAGCGCCGCCCACCCATCCGGGGCAAGAGCCGCGCCGCAGGAGAGGCAGGCTGGACCGGGGGCTCCCCGGGCCCGCGACCCCCGCCGTGACCCCGCAGCCCCCAGCTCGCCCCCAAGATGATGAAGAGGCAGCTGCACCGCATGCGGCAGCTGGCCCAGACGGGCAGCTTGGGACGGTGAGTGTCACCCGCTTCCAGCCCCACTCTTACCCCGGCAGGACTTGAGGGGTCGTAAAAGGGTCGGGGGAGACGGGGGTGGGGGAGGCTGGGGACAGCTGGGCAGCCACCCTCTGAGCGGCCAGACTCCTGCTCTCTCTTCCTCCTCTCTGAACGCCGCCCCCGTCTCTCGGGCAGAGCTGGAGGAGCAAGGGTGGCCTTTGGGGGAAGGGATGCCCCCCCTTACCGGATTGGAGGGGGCTTCAGGCGGGAGAATGCTCTCTGCCCTAGGACGCTGGGACTTCTCTGCCTCCACGAGTCTCTAAGTGGATGGTCCTCCTGACCTCACTTGTCCCCTCTGGACAATGGGACAGTTCACCACCTCTGCTTGCTGGGCCGGGGAGGGAGGAGGGTCGATTAGGGCCACAGACCTGGGGCGAGGGGAGGAGATGGGTCCTGGCCTGGTGGGAGGAGGGGCCTGCCCCTGGCCTGCAGCGTCCCTCCCCCTCCCCCTCCCCCCAGCCCAGGGGCCTCCTGCTTCTGTCTCGTTTCTGCTTTTCCTGGACTCAGGTGGAAATATCCCCAGGTCTCCCAGCTCCCACCCCCAGCCTCTGAGCCGGTGGCACGGAGGCCGGAAGTTTGGGGAGCCTCTCAGAGCCTGTCTTCTCTGCTCCTCTTCCCCCAGCCTCAGGAGTTCCCCATTCTCTGGGTCCAGGGAGGGGACTGGGTGTCCAGAGACCTGGTTCTAGTCTCACACTGGCACAGATGCCTACATAGCCTGGACAGTCAGACCACCTTGCAGTGGGCCTTGGCATCCCCCATGTGTCCCCAGGTGGGGGCCAAGGGCCTGTGCACCCCTGCCCACAGCTGTAGTCCAGAGTGCTGTGTGACTGTGCCTAGGAGTCTGAGCTCCTGCACTTCCCGTTCTTGGGGCCAGCTAATACTCCTCATCCCGGGGTGGGCTGAGGATTTGGGAGTGGGCAGAAAAGAGGCTTCTGTGTCCCAAAGCTGGGCCCCGGGTGGGTCTCTCAGCCTCCCCTTTAGTTTCATCTGTCCGCCCTCTCTCAGGACACAGCCCTGGGTGGAGGAGGAAAAACCCATGTATCCTATTCCCACCCCCATGGAATGTGCTCCGACTGGGATGAAGCAACTGGGCCACCCAGGGCAGGCCTCAGCTGGGAGGGACAGTGGAAGCACTGGGGTCCAGGTGCCCTGCTGCGGGGAAGGGAAGTAGGGGGCGTTCTAACCCAGGCAGGCTCAGCAGAAGCACTCTCCCCCCCCCCCCCACCACTCCCCGCAGCACCCCGGAGACCGCTGAGTTCCTGGGTGAGGACCTGCTGCAGGTACGTGCCTGGGCCGGGCAGGTGGGAAGGCAGGCCTGTGCAGGCTGTCTCGGAGCAGAGGGCCGGGGCGGGGACGCCAGGTAGGGGCCTGGGTTGAGTCATTCCTCAAGCTGTTGGCCATGGGGTCCCCAGGGGACAGGAGAAAGTTTCCTGCTCAGGGGGAGACAGCCTCTCTTGATCCTTAACCTCCATACCTCCTTCCCAGGTAGAACAGCGGCTGGAGCCGGCCAAGCGGGCAGCCCACAACATCCACAAGCGGCTGCAGGCCTGTCTGCAGGGCCAGAGCGGGGCAGACATGGACAAGCGGGTGGTGAGTGGGGGGTCCCGGGAAGGAGGGGCCTGAGCAGGAGACTTCCATCCAATGGGGAAGCAAGGTCGGGGCTGGGGTTTCCTTGCCAGTCTGAGTGTCTGGCACCAAGGGCATGGAGACTGCTCTGTTCCAAGGCCCCTCTGGCACTGCACTCAAGAGGCCCTATACCTTCCCCATCACCTTTACCCCACTTCCCTGTGCACCAGTTCCCATAAGCCAAGGCCAGGCTTCTGACAGCACCTGAACTTCTCTGTCCAATCAGTGCGCAAGAGCAGGCTGTCAATGGGGCGGCCTCAGAGGGTTTCCTGAAGGAGGTAGCAATTGAGCTGGCTTTTGAGGGATACACGTTTATTAATCAAGAGGCAGCGTTTATTGGCTGATAACCGCCAGCTTGTTACTAACATATGAGTGCACTGTCTCATGGAACACTGGCACAACCCTAGGGGCAGGCATTGCTTTACACATGAGGAACTGGAGGCTCAGAGATAAAGTCACTTGTCCAAGGTCACATAGCTAGTAAGTGGCAGAACTGAGGTTTGAACCCTGGTCTCTGATCCCAGAGCAGGCATTCCCCGTAACTCCAGATGGGGTGGGAGTGTGGGGCCATGTTTTGGAATCAGTTGACAATTCAGTGTGGCCAAGGCAAGGAAATTGGGAGCCATAGAGCGTTTGAACTCAGCGGTGGCTAGGTCAGCCATATATACCCTGGGACAGGGGAAAGAGCTCCCGCTCCCATTCTCCCTCCACCTGTGTGACCTGGGGCAAGCTCCCTGCCCTCCCTGCATCTTAGTTTCCCAGTCTGCAGTAGGACTTGGTCATTCCTTCCTGCCCAGTCAAGTGGCTTCTGGGAAGAGGAAAGGGCACGCCAGATGGAGAGGGGCTCCATCCATGCTCTCAGGGAAATGTCACCCCCACCACGCCTTGTCATCTTGTTTCCACTCTCATCTGGGACTGTGGCCCTCCTGGGTTCCCTCCTCCCCTGCCCCAAGGGGCTGGCCTGGTGCTCAGGCAGGGTGGAGGGAGGCACGGACACTCATCGCCGGCCCCACCCTCCCTGCAGAAGAAGCTTCCCCTCATGGCTCTGTCCACCACGATGGCTGAGAGCTTCAAGGAGCTGGACCCTGATTCCAGCATGGGGTGAGCACAGACGGGGCCCAGCCCTCACCTGGGGATACCAAGACGTGATCTCAGCTGGGAGGGGGTCCAGGTGGTGAGGGCATCCACATCAGAAGAATGACCAGGCTGGGGACAGTTCCCAGGTCAGTGAGGGTGGCCAGGCCTGGGAGGGTGTTCAGCTTAGCAGAGATGAAGGATATCTAGGAGGGGCCGGAAGTGAGGGAGGAGAGGCCCCACCAAGTGTTTCCAGTGGAGGTGAGGGCAGCGGGCGCCTGGACCCATGGGGTGCCGTGTCCACAGGAAGGCCTTGGAGATGAGCTGTGCCATCCAGAATCAGCTGGCCCGCATCCTGGCCGAGTTTGAGATGACCCTGGAGAGGGACGTCCTGCAGCCACTCAGCAGGCTGAGTGAGGTGAGCCTGTGCCCTGCTTTCAGCCCCCAGCTTCCCCAGCTTCTGGCTCCCTCCTCCCCCAGCACACTGACCCCCCCATGCCCATCCCCAGGAGGAGCTGCCAGCCATCCTCAAACACAAGAAAAGCCTCCAGAAGCTCGTGTCCGACTGGAACACACTCAAGAGCAGGTGGGAGCCCCAGCCGCTCAGGGGGCTCATATCTGGGTCAGCCCACAGAGATGGTCATAGAGCTTTGAGGCCCTGGCCACACCAGGAGGATGCTGTGGGGTCTGCTGAGTACAGTGTGTGTACTTGTGCACGCCTGGTCCCTAGGAGCACAGGTGGTTAGCGTATCTGTGAGGGTGTGCCCGCGTGTGTCACAGCTGGTGCTGGGGCAACCCTAAAGCCTGGGATCCTGTAAACAGTCCTGCGGCAGCCCTGTTCTCCCCTCTGTGGAGTGGCTGTGATCACCAAATCTGCCACCAGGGGGCAACCCAGAGCACTCATGGCCCAGCCTGGGCAGAGGCCCCGGCCAGTGGAGCTCTCAGATCTGCAGCTCTAAATCCTAGAATCCCATGTGGTCTGCTGTATGGAGGGGACACTTGGCTCTGGACATGCAACAGGGCAGGTGACCAGCTCACCTTGGGATCATCTCCAGGCTCAGTCAGGCAACCAAGAATTCAGGCAGCAGTCAAGGCCTAGGAGGCAGCCCGGGTAGTCACAGCCATACGACCATGGCCAACAAGGTGGAGACGCTGAAGGAGGAGGAGGAGGAGCTGAAGAGGAAAGTGGAGCAATGCAGGGTGAGGGCCATGGGGGTCCCCTGGATATGTAGGGGTGGCAGGGGTGGGTCCTGGCCCATCTCACAGGCAAGGAAGCTGAAGTTCAGAGAGGTGACATGACTTGCCTAAGGCCACGTGGCTAGGAGCCAGCAGAGCTCCGCCATTCCCTCGTAGCCTCTTCTGTCTGTACCCCATGCATAACTTGGGAAGGCAGAGACTTGGTCTGTTCCCTGAGTCTCCATGTGTTTGTTTGCTGAGCGAGCGAGTGAATGAATAAATGAAGAGTGAATGAAAGAATGACTGAATGGTGAATAACAGGTCACTGTGCAAGGCCAGGCGCGGTGGCTTACGCCTGTAATCCCAGCACTTGGGGAGGCCGAGGCAGGCGAATCATGAGGTCAGGAGTTCAAGACCAGCCTGGCCAACATGGTGAAACCCTGTCTCTACTAAAAATACAAAAACTTAGCTGGGCGTAGTGGCGGGCGCCTGTAATCCCAGCTACTCAGGAGGCTGAGGCAGGAGAATCGCTTGAGCCCAGGAGGCGGAGGTTGCAGTGAGCCAAGATTGCACCACTGCACTCCAGCCCGGGCAACAGTGTGAGACTCCGTCTCAAACGAAACAAAACAAAAAACAAGGCACTGTGCTAAGTCTATGGAGACACAGAGATGGGGACGAGAAGCCAGAAAAGTTTGAGGGAGTTCCCAGGGGCTGGCCCCAAGCACCAACCTTGGCAGAGAGAGGAGCCTGGCTGGGACCTTCCACCTGCAGTTGTGTGGCCTGGGGGAGGTCACCAACCCTTCCAAGCCTCCTCTTCCCCTCTAGACCCCACAGCCTCACCCAACGTAAGCTCTCCCCTCTCTGTCCCCAAGGACGAGTACTTGGCTGACCTGTACCACTTTGTTACCAAGGAGGACTCCTATGCCAACTACTTCATTCGTGTGAGTCCAAGACCGGGCCCCAGCCATCCAGAGTTCAGGGGCTGAATGCCAGAGCCAGGGGCCACTGGGGCTCTAAGATGGTGGAGGGGGCGTCTGCTCTCAAGGACCCTATAGAAGGCTCAGCTTCCCCCACTTCCGCTCAGGGTGTCCCTTCATCCCCACAGCTCCTGGAGATTCAGGCCGATTACCATCGCAGGTCACTGAGCTCGCTGGACACAGCCCTGGCTGAGCTGAGGGAGAACCACGGCCAAGCAGGTGGGGACATAGGCCCGGCGATACCACACCCCTGACCCTGCCCTGCTCGGGGCTTATTGAGAAGCTCGCACTTCATCCTGAAAGGTAGCAGGAAGCTGTGGATGGGTTCTGAGAGCTAGGCTCAATCTGTGATGGAGAGGCAGCTCTGGCTACTGTGTGGAGGGTGGAGTGAAGCGGGCAGGACTAGAGCCAGGCCTGTGAGGCAGAAGGAGGCAACGGTGGCCTGGACTAGGACAGAGGCAGTGGAGGCGGGCTGATTCGAGAGATGTGACGGATGATTTCAGATGTGTGCCTGGACAGTCAGTGGCAGGTGGTACCACCTTGAGGACATGAAGGGGGGGTGCCCCTGCCTGACTGCTCGGGGTGGGAAGGCCCTGGGCCGCTGATCTGTTTCATCCCTGCAGACCACTCCCCTTCGATGACAGCCACCCACTTCCCCAGGGTGTATGGGGTGTCGCTGGCAACCCACCTGCAAGAGCTGGGCCGGGAGATTGCCCTGCCCATCGAGGCCTGCGTCATGATGCTGCTTTCTGAGGGCATGAAGGAAGAGGTGGGGTCCCCTGGGGCAGGTGGGGAAGGAGCACTGGGGCCCTCATTCTGTCCCAAACCGCCCACTTGCTGCCCTTTCCGGGTGCCTGTAATTCCCTCATTCGAGCCCAGCTCCCTGGGAGAAGACATGACTGCCTCCTGCGGCATCCACACTACCTCCCCCGTGTCAATGCTCGCGTGGGCCAAGCGCTGTACTAGAAGCCTTTGCATTCCAGGCTCCATTTCACAATTTCACAAGAGGGAGACAGAGGTAGAGAGGTAACCATGCCCAGAGTCATTTGAGAAGGTGACTTCTCAAACCAGGGGCTCCACTGCCACACACTGGCTGGATCTGCTGTGAATACATTGCCCCCCTGTCCTGAAGATAGACCCTAGTGGTGGCAGATACCCCAAAACAGTTCTGCGCTGCTCAGCAATCCTGCTGTGCTGGGGCCTCCTTTCTCCCTTACACTTTTTTTTTTTTTTTTTTTTTTGAGATATGGAGTGTTGCTCTGTTACCCAGGCTGGAGTGCAGTGGCGTGATCTCGGCTCACTGCAGCCTCTGTCTCCTGGGTTCAAGCGATTCTCCTGCCTCAACTTCACAAGTAGCTGGGACTACAGGCATGCACCACCACGCCCAGCTAATTTTTGTATTTTTTAGTAGAGATGAGATTATGTTGGCCAGGCTAGTCCTGAACTCCTAACCTCAGGTGATCCACCTGCCTCAGCCTCCCAAAGTGCTGGGGTTGCAGGCATGAGCCACTGCGCCCGACCCTTTTTTTTTTTTTGAGACAGGATCTCGCTCTGTCACCCAGGCTGTAGTGCAGTGGTGCGATCCTGGCTCACTGCAACCTTCACCTCCCTGGTTCAAGCGATTGTGTCTCAGCCTCCCAAGTAGCTGGGATTACAGATGCCCACCACCATGCCCAGCTAATTTTTTTTATTTTAGTAGAAATGGGATTTCACCATGTTGGCCAGGCTGGTCTCAAACCCCTGGCTTCAAGTGATCCACCTGCACAGGCCTCCCAAAGTGCTGGGATTACAGGCGTGAGCCACTGCACCCGGCCCCTCCCTTCCACTTCTGACTGGGCTTCCATTTCCCCATGATTTTTCCCGCCTCCTCCCAGACTTCCCAGCCCTGCCCTTTGCTCAGAATTCTAGACCTTGAAGGTTGAAGCCCGTGGACACCGTGGTGCCCACACTGCCAGCCAGACCAGCGGGGACACAGGCCTAGCAAAGGCCAGTGGCACACCCCAGGCTACAAGTGCGCCAGGGTGTCCTGCCCTGCCCACCCCTCTGTGACCCTTGCCTGCCTCCTCTCGAACCCAGGGTCTCTTCCGTCTGGCTGCTGGGGCCTCGGTGCTGAAGCGTCTCAAGCAGACAATGGCCTCGGACCCCCACAGCCTGGAGGAGTTCTGCTCCGACCCGCACGCTGTGGCAGGTGCCTGATCCGGGGAGCCCTGGGCAGGAGGTTGGGGGGGAGGGGGTGCAGTGGCTTGAAACGATCCCAAGATAGCCTGGCTTTAAGACTTGATATTCTGTTGAGACTGAGGACACTCGGGTTCTTAATGTGGGGTCCATCATGAGCCCCCCGAAAATGTTTGGCATTTTTCTGGGGACAAGATGGCTAGCCTTCATTTTCTCAAAAGGGCCTACAGCCCAAAGAAACTGTCAGACCTAGACACGTTAGTGTGAACAAGGGCCGGAGGTTCCTTCTACAGGGAGAGTGGGAGAGCGGGTGGGGGCTGCCTCTGACCCTCCCCACACCCCTCCTTCAGGTGCCCTCAAGTCCTATCTGCGGGAGCTGCCAGAGCCTCTGATGACCTTCGACCTCTATGATGACTGGATGAGGGCAGCCAGGTGAGGATGTTGGAGGAGGGAGGGGATGGGGAGGAGGAGGATGCAAAGGTGTAGCCCTGCGCTGGCTGACAGGTCTCTCCACTCCCCCCCAGCCTGAAGGAGCCAGGGGCCCGGCTGCAGGCCCTCCAAGAGGTGTGCAGCCGCCTACCCCCCGAGAACCTCAGCAACCTCAGGTGAGCCCGAGCCCGCCTCCCCAGCCTGCCGCAGAGCCAGAGCCCAGCTGAGGTCACGGACCCTGGGACCCTGGGCTTGAGCCTGGCCTTGCCACTGTATCCTAAGAAATATTACTGAAAATGCAGCTTTGATGGATTAGTCATTTATATATATAATTTTTTTTTTTTTTCTGAGACAGGGTCTCACTCTGTCGCCCAAGCTGGAGTGCAGTGGTGCAGTCTTGGCTCACTGCAACCTCCGCCTCCTGGGTTCAAGCAGTTCTCCTGCCTCAGCCTCCCGAGTAGCTAGGACTACAGGCGCCTGCCATCACACTCGGCTAATTTTTGTATTTTTAGTAAAGGTGGGGTTTTACCATGTTGGTCAGGCTGGTCTTGAACTCCTGACCTCAGGTGATCCACCCGCCTCAGCCTCCCAAAGTGCTGGGATTACAGGCGTGAGGCACTGCGCCCAGCCGGATTAGTCACACATTTTTATGCGAAGCATTGAAATAAATGAGACCTTGAACTTTTGAAGCCATACCGCCTGGCTTCACATGCCACCTCTGGGCAGGCCACTCAGCGTCATCATCTGGAAAATGCAGACTGTAACAATCTCTACCCTGTAGGGTGGCTGCTGAGGACTCAGCTTGGCTCAGTGCCCACTGCAGGGTTGGCACTCAGTGGATAAGCTGATTTAACTGTGACAATGTTAAGACCATTCTGGGCGGTGTCTTTCACACTCTTTGGAAACCCTGGGCTGGAGAATTCTCAGGGCTGGGTGCGTTCTGCCCCTGGCCTAAGCCTGCCTCCGCCCTTAGGTACCTGATGAAGTTCCTGGCACGGCTGGCCGAGGAGCAGGAGGTGAACAAGATGACACCCAGCAACATCGCCATAGTCCTGGGACCCAACTTGCTGTGGCCACCTGAGAAAGAAGGGTGAGGGGCCGCGGGCTGGGGGAGGTGGCAGGAGGAAGGCAGATCCCATCCCAACTATCTGTTGTCTATTTTTCCCCGGGGCCTTGGTGTCCCCATTTTTGGAGTGGGTTGAGCAGCTCCTGTTTTTGAGGCTGCCGTGAGGAACAGGCCAAAGGGGCTGTGCAGGCCACAGGGCTTTGGAGAGAGGCAATTCTGGCATTTTGGCCAGTGGTGGTGATGAGGTGTTTAGTGGCATGGGGGAGCTGGGAGCCCAGAGATCGGGTTCTTTTTTTTTTTTTTTTTTTTGAGATGGAGTCTTGCTCTTGTTGCCCAGGCTGGAGTACAGTGGCGCAATCTCGGCTCACTGCAACCTCCGCCTCCCGGGTTCAAGCGATTCTTCTGCCTCAGCCTGCCAGGTAGCTGGGACTACAGGTGCGCACCACCACTCCCGGCTAATTTTTTGTATTTTTAGTAGAGACAGGGTTTCACCGTGTTAGCCAGGGTGGTCTCGATCTCCTCAGCTCGTGATCCACCAGCCTCGGC